>NC_000006.12:5666060-5817575 GCF_000001405.40 Homo sapiens
ATAGCATAGCAGGTCTAGCGTACCGCACTTGAAAAGACTATGGTATTTATTGGTTCATTGAACTCAACTAAACCCAAAATACTGGGTACCTCATGTGTGCAGTTCTTAGTGCCAGGAATGATGGGCTGTGTAAGGAAGAATCCAGTAACTCCCTCAACTAACTTAGAATATTTATTTCCTAACTAAAAGAAACATAAGTAAGAGTCAACAATATTGTTTGTTTTGCTTTTTATGTAGTGTCAGGCACAGAAATATGCTCAGTAAACACTTGCTGGTTAATGGCCACTGCAGGTCCCTGAATTTGCGTTGAGTTGAAAGAAATGCCACCAACCTGCCCCTCCACTGCCAGGAGTTCAAGTCAGGAGAGCAGCCAGCCTGACTATAGAAGAACTACACAGTGCCTAAAGTTCCAGGAAACCTTCCAGTTGCAAGGAGAGAGAGCAGTGCTATTTTAATAAATAGTACATGATAGTTTTGCTGTATACCAGGCCTACACAGTGCTAGACACTGGAGGCAAAGACAGACAAACAGACAAAATAATTAAAATGTGGTTAAGATCATATCCAAATGTAAATTAGGTCCACCACTGTGGAAAACAGTGTGGCAGTTCCTCAAAGACCTAAAAACAGAACTAACATTTGACCCAGCAATCCCATTGCTGGATATACACCCAAAGGAATATAAATTGTTCTATTATAAAGACACATGCACATGTGTATTCGTTGCTATTCAAAATAGCAAAGACATGGAATCAACCTAAAGGATCATCAATGGTAGACGAGATAAAGAAAATGTGGTACATATGCACCGTGGAATACTATGCAACCATACAAAAGAATGCGATCATGTCCTTTGCAGAAACATGGACAGAGCTGGAGGACATTATCCTTAGCAAACTAACACAGGAAGAGAAAACCGAATATTGAATGTTCTCACGTACAAGTGGGAGCTAAATGTTGCAAACACATGGACACATACTGGGGCCTATCGGAGGGTGGAGGGTGGGAAGAGGGAGAAGATCAGGAAAAATAACTAATGGGTACTAGGCTTAATACCTGGGTGACAATATAATCTGAATACCAAACCCCCATGACACAAGTTTCCCTATATGACAAACTTGCATATGTACCCCTGAACTTAAAATAAAAATTAAAAAATAAAAATAAAGATTAAATTTGGCTGGGCACAGTGGCTCACGCCTGTAATCCCAGCCCTTTGGGGGGCCAAGGTGGGCAGATCACAAGGTCAGGAGTTCGAGACCAGCCTGGCCAATATGGAGAAACCCCATCGCTACTAAAAATACGAAAATTAGCCTGGTGTGGTGGTGCATGCCTAAAGTCCCAGCTGCTCAGGAGGCTGAGGCAGGAGAATCGCTTGAACCCAGGAGGTGGAGGCTGCAATGAGCCGAGATCACGCCACTGCACTCCAGCCTGGGCAACACAGCAAGACACCGTCTCAAGAAAAAAAAAAAAAGATTATATTCTTTGTTGAATATAACAAAGTGAATATAAACAAAATGAAAATTTGGGGGAAAAGTAAAATATCATTTGGCATTAAAGATAACCCCTTAAGAAAATCACTATCAGTACCAAACATGGAGCCATCCAGCCAAACCCATAGAATTCTAGAACATCAGAGCTGGATAAGCCCTTAGAACAATCTGTCCAAATCTGTTATTTTGCAGAGGGGGAAGTGGAGACCCAGCCATGCAAAGGTATTAGCAACAGTTAGTTTACATTTCTTTCTGGCTGCATTTACAGTGGGTAAATACATCTTAACTTTAGTGGGTTGAAAAAGACAGGTGCTATTTCCTCAAACAATATTTTGGCTGCTGGTGATCGACTCTTAGAGCAAGAGAAACACTTTCTAACATCGATGTGGGATTTTGTGTGTGATGTGTGGGTTTCCTGAGCTGCTGAGCTTTTCCACAATCTCCTGCTCTATTACTTCGTAGCCCACTTTCCTTTAATACCCACCGTCAGAGAGGTTCTCTTTACCATTCCTCTGCTCAGCTCCTTCAGAAGTCTGTGTACACCGACAATAAATGGTAGGTCTGAAAACAGATGAGAGGTTTTTAAATTTGAAAACAGATGAGAGGCTTTCTTCCCTCAAGGGATGATGTGGGGTTTAGTAGCTTCAGCTATGTTGAATTTTACTTATAAATGGTGATGACTTGCTTATAATGTGAGGTTTATTTTCTGTTTTATATGTATCTTATAAGCAGCCACATGAGCAAATATTTAATTTATTGTCACTCTTGTACTGTTGGACAGCAGCAGCTCATGTGAATGATACTATACCAATTCAAGCTCGGGAATGACTATTGGACACCCAGCACACTGTTAGGGTTATCTGCGTGTGTCCATGTGATACTGAAATGGCTGGTCCCCTGGTCAAATAGCCAGAGAAACCAGAGGGAAAGTGAATTCCTGAACTTCATTCAATTAAATGAATTGAGGTTTAGATGTTTTTTACTGTTTAATTCAGGCGAAACATTTGTTATTCTTTATGTAGAAACAGCTGAGGCAAAAATGGATGGCTTAGAAGGAATATCCAAGTTTGAATCCAGGTTTTACCTCTTCATTGCTATGTTACCTTGAGCAAGTTTCTTTTTTGTGTGTTTGGGTTTTTTTTTTTTTTTTTTTTTTTTGAGATGGAGTTTGTCTCTTGTTGCCCAGGCTGGAGTGCAATGACGTGATCTCGACTCACTGCAACCTTCGCCTTCTGTGTTCAAGTGATTTTCCTGCCTCAGCTTCCCGAGGAGCTGAGATTACAGGCACCCACCATCACGCCCTGCTAATTTTTTTTGTATTTTTATAGAGACGGGGTTTCACCATGTTGGCCAGGCTGGTCTCGAACTCCTGACCTCAGGCGATGGACCCGCCTTGGCCTCCCAAAGTGCTGGGATTACAGGCATGAGCCACCACACCCAGCCCACGTTGAGCAAGTTTCTTAACTTCTCTAGGCCTCAAGGGCTTTAACCACTTGTAATGATGATAATAGTGCACAGTGCTTTCAAGGTTATATTTTAATAATCAATATAAGGTACCTAGTGCAGTCCCTGAAAAAACAAACAGATGTTAATTCCCTTTCTCCTAAGAAAGTAGTCCTGGAATGGGAAAATAGGAGCCATTCCTTGACACGGAGCAGACGTGTTATCCTGGCCTCCTATGCCATTGCCTTCTGTGGTCAGTACTTGAACATTGTGCCCTCGGATTCCATCAACAGATCCTGAGAAACAGAGAAAGTTGCTCCCGCAGGTCCCATAGTAAGCTTGTTGAGTGTTGTCCATTCCTATCACTCAGCCCACCTCCCCCCACCCCCCCGCTGCCTATAAAACCTTTTGTGGGAAATGTTTTAAAAATTAAGCACCAAGGGTTAGTGTGCCTCAAGATAAGGGTAAATTTGACCTTAAGGGTTTTGTAAGTGACCATTTTTCCTTCACTGTGGCTGGGGAGAGCCACCGTATACGTCAGCCCCCAGGGCTTGCTGTTGTGTTGCTCTTTTCCCTGATCTCAGTAGTCCTGTACTTGCTAATATTTTCGCTCATCATATTGCAGTGTATTAGGAGAGGGCTCTGATGCTGTTCTGTGGTATTATAGGCCCAAGTCAAGAGCTCCCAAATCCTGCCCTGCTAGTCATTTGGCCTCCTGATGGCAAACAGAGGTCCTGAGATTCGGAGAGTGAAGCGGAGTGGCTGCCGGCACCACCTTCTCACCTGCAAGAGCACCCAGAGCCTTGTCCGGAGTTGGGCTTATTGGAGGAGCTGGTGAAGGAGAAGAGGCTGAGTTGGCTTAAGCACCCCTTCTGCCTGCCTCTAACCCCACACCTTCAGATCCCTTTAGCTGCTTGCACAGCTCATGACCTATGAACGGGGGTGGGGAAGAAGTAGGCAGAATGGAGTCTGACATGAGAAAAGTGTCAATAACATCCCATTTCTTGTGTTGATTCTTGATTTCTGTTCATATTCAAACATTATTTTGTTGTATATTTTCTTTCGTAGGCCTCCTTAAAATTCTCGTAGAATGAGGCAAGATATAAACACTTACATAGAAGTTAACAGCAGTGTGTTAATGATATATGCAGCCAAGCATAGGCGCTTATGCCCAGAGTGCGCAAGTATACAGAGGACATTCAGTGGCCAAAGTTGGCTAGAGTTGCTTTGGTCCTTGATCAAGTCCTGTTTAGATTTCTCCACCCAAATAAGTTACATCAATACTGACTAGATAATACATATTCAACAGGCAGTACACCCCCTGATCATTGTGGATATCACAATTCAGGAAATCATTTACTTACTAAACATTTTTACTTACTAAACATTTACTTACTAAACTTTTGTGTCCCCTACTAAACTTTTAGCTTCTAGAGAGTAGAAACCATGTCCTGTTGTTCTTTATGCTTATAGTACTTGGCCCACAACTGATGCACAATGGATCACGAGGGGTGACTAGATAAATGAGAATTTTTTAATGGCAAGATGATTCAGAGCAAATGAAATGTAGAATATCATAATATTTTATAAGGAATGGCATTTTGGGCAAGTTATTACTTGTACGTACTTTTAGAAACAGTCTCTTCCTCTAACCAAATGCTTCTGAGTAGGATCCTGCTTTAATGGATAGAAAAACATGAGTTCTCATTAGTATGCACAGCACTGAAGCCCAGTTACATTTTTTTTTTAAATAAGCACACTTTTTAAGTGCTGCCATGCAGTGTCATCGCTCCAAAAGCTTATCACATTGTTCATTTTCTTAGCAGGCTCAGTTCTACTGATGGTGTAAAGTTTCAACCGGGGCTCTTCATAATTATTACGAATTCTTAAGACTGAAATCAGGTGGCTTTTTATTTTTAGTGTCCTTATTGTGCTCACTCAAGACTATATATTCAGCAGTGTGCAGTCTATGCCTGACTGTATAAAAGACTGGAATGTTCACACACTATAATGAATAATGAGTGTCAGTGAACTCATTACAGTAAATCCTTAGGTAATTACTTTCTGCCTTAGTTGGGGGACTTATGGTAGCATAAGCTAAAATTATTTCATCTCCAGACAAACCCTGAGGTGGCTGTTGGAGTTAAATATAATTCATTTGCAGCATGTTTATTATAGTTAAATTTAACTAATTTAGGGCCTGTTGCTGGCCAGAAGCTGAGGAGGAGGAAGTTGCAGTGTCCATGAGTACCTCAGAAAAATGAGGCTTCATGGCCGAGCTTTCAGAGCATGACGTAAGAGTTACTCCCACTCTGTCTCTGCTCTTCCTGTCCCCAGAGCTGGATGGGTTTGTTCATGAAAGTGATTGGCTAATGAGCTCTTCAGGCATAGGATTAATGTGGTGTAGCAAGAGGAAGTCTCAGCGTTGAGCTGGGGCTCTGCTCAGTTCTCTCCTCTGTTTCTGCCGGAACTTCCTGGTGTTACAGAAAGAACTATGGTGTTCAAGGTCACTGTTGTATGAATGGATTTATCAGCAGATGGTGAGGCTCCCCCTTCTCGTGCCCCATTTCCACTCAACACTGTCGGGCCAGTCTGGGCGTTATTTCTTCCTAAGCCTTCCAGCCTGGAAGACTTAGCTCTGGAAAAAATAGGAAAGGACTTACTCCAAGAACCAAGCACATGTTTACAGAGGATGGTTTAACCTTTAAAGATGTTGCCACTGAAGAGTTTTTAGATTAGATTTTGCCTCATGAGAGCTCTTCTGAGCTGGATGGCTTGCTCTACCAAAGATGTTACAGGGACACCCGCAGGAGAAATCGCATCAACGCGGGGAGGTGAGGCTTCTGAGCCATCGCTTGTGTCTAAGAACATAAGCCAAAAATCACTGTAGGGGGACTGTTCCCCAGAAGACAGGGACCTTGCCAGGAGAGGAAACACAATTCCGATCATCGTGAGGAACGTGCATTTGCGGAAGACATTGTCCTACTTTTCCACAAAAATACCATGTCTCCATTCTGGAAATATGTGCACTGTGCTAATTGCTCAAGAGAAGGTAGCAGTTGGAAAAAGTCCAGAGAAGGATGAGTAGATGAACACAGGAATCAGTCGGTAGCCGTGGGAACAGCAAAGCCCCTTCAGTGGGAAGGCAAGAGTAAAGAGAAGACAGCACTGAAGTCTGTGGAATCTAAAGCGGCTTTGGTGGGGTTTCCTCACCGACCCAAAGTGCAGAGCTAGCAGGGTAGGCACACCCACCCGTGCCTGTGGTGGCCCGCCCTAAGACTCTATCCAGGACAGCCACCTCAGCCTCACTATCCCCTGGCCACGTCCTGGCCGTTCAGTCCCACCGTGACGCAGCTTACAAGCTGCAGAACCGTCTGCCTCTCAAGCCAGTGTTCCTCCCACTGTACCACAGTTGCTTCCGTTGGGTCCAGACTCTTCTGAAAACTCCCCTTTTCAATTTTACTCAAACAGATTTTGGCCATGGAAATGGTTTGTGACTTTAACGGGCAAGCTGTGATATAAAAAGTAAACCATGGGTTACATAACTTCAGGGGCAGGTTAACTTTTCCAGAATTCTGGTCTCAAAGTAAAGATTTAGATTTAGTTGAGGCTATAAAAATTCAGGAAAAAATAATAAAGCATTTCTACACCTCCCTCCTTCCCCTTGCGAGCCCCCCTTAAAAATAGCATCTGAAGTTTCATTGTAGCTGAGTCACTGCTTGGTGCGATCTAGGGCTAGGCTGCAACTGGACCTGTCAGAATGAGGCCACAGTGATTCATGATGAAGCTAAGTTTGGTTGCCACTGACAACATGTGTTCCTCTCTGTTCTTTCCCTGGAGTTTGGAGACACTGTATTTTGCCTTTGGATTAGAAACGCCTTTGAGTGGTGAGAGTAATGGGATGAGATGGGCCACTGCAATTAAAGAGCCCTCTGGGCCCTCTTTCTGTGACACCCTAGCCATTTGTTAGGGGAAGGTAGGAGTAATTAACATAACCAAAGACCTTTGGGGCTGTGAAGGGAATTTATCTCCTCTGCCTTTGCAGTTTAGCATCAAGTCAGTCTACCAACCAAGAGCCCCCCAACACCTTTTCTGGGCCCCAAACTGTGCTTCCCATTGAGGAAAGGCAAATGATAGAATATGCGGTCCCTACCCTGAAGGAATTTGGGGAAGCACAAACCAATTAGAGAAGCACTGTCTACTTCCCACGTTGATTATAATCATGTATGTGTCAGTTTCCACGTTTGCGCCTGGAGGGCAGAAGCCACAGCTGGTTTTGCTGTGCATGGCACCTGTGTTCCTGGAGCTGAAGTGAATGGGTCCTGCCTCCAGCACCTGCTTCCCCACTTCTGCCATCAGAAAGACTCGTTCGGGAAAACATTCCTTCATTCCCTTCCTAGGGCACCACAGTTAATAAGGCCACAAATTTGGGCCTGTCCATCCTGGTGCAAGTATCTGAGGAAGCAAGAAGAGATCCGGGTTAGCAAGGATACGATTACAATGCTTTTATTTTTTTAATGGGACTTGGGCGGTGAGGAAATTCTATGTTCCCCGTCATTTATGCAGACTCCAGCTAAACGTATGCTAGTTGAACTCATGCCAGCTCTGTGGAAGTGAGGGACAGATACAAGAAACATGGGAACTTTCCAAGAAATGAAGCTTCTTTGCTGCCATGTCGATGATGCTTGTTTCTGAGAAACTCAAATGTATGGAAGTGTAGAGTAGAGCTTCCCAAACAGGGTGCCGTAGTTCACAGATTTGCACACAGGGGTGCCAGCATAATGATCTCTGCAGCTCTTGGCACACCTTGGTATGTCTGGAGTATGAGATGGACTTAACATATGAATATACATATAAATATATATAATGTATCTGTACATCTTAGGGACTAGACAAACAAGGTGTTAAATGTGTTCCTCTCTGGATGGTAGGTTTATGGAATCCTTTAATCATTTTACTTATTTGCTTATTTAAACTTCTGAATCTGTAACAATTTATTGTGTGTGTGGAAGAATTCTTTCAGCCCAACCAAATACTAGCCAAAATATTGAAGTGGAAGGTATCAGTGTTCGGTGATCCAGCCAAAGGTTTATGTATATGTTTTATTCAAACACTGTCTTAGAAACCATTTGCCCTGAGGATGTGTCCTCTATTTTGTCAGTTTAAAAAGGATTCTTTTCAGTTAGTGCATTCTCATTAAAAAAAAAAAAAAAAAAAAAGGAAAGAAAAAGAAACAGTAAAGCAGATGTCACATATCAGAGAAATTGCCACATCTTGATAGATTCACACCATTTATTTTCTTTGCCTGTAAGCCTAATACTGGCAACAGCCCAAACTGCCAACTTTCTTCATTTATTGACATTCTTAAAAAGTTAACTTCCTGTCGAGGATGTTTTTGACAGGGATATTAAGAGAAAGACTTGTTGGTCAGATGTAGGTTCCAGCTGGCCACACTGTAAAGGCCACTGGGAATCGGAACCTTGGCAGATCCATGCAGAGGTAATAGTTTGGAAGTTGGGAATTCTTATTTCCCGGCAACTGTAGACAAGGAGCAATGATTTGCTATTTGTATTTTATATCGTATTACATTTGCAAAATGTTTGTGGTCATTCAAATTTGTTTTTTTTCACAGTACTTCTGTGAATGCCTGATTTCTCTTTGCCTAGGCTCTCAGATTCTTGAGGGGGTGGATGGAGGTGTGATATTTGCCTTCTTCTCACATAGGAATGCCTATAACCTAAATGAGATCAATATCATTTCGTTCTTCTGGGAGCAGTACTATTTTTGCCAGTTACCAACATTATAAAATACTTCCATATTTGGAACTGTGGCATTTTGTACTTGGAGGGATTTTTTAAAGAAATTGCCTGGTCTAGTTCCTTCATTATACAAATGAAACCATTGAGACCGAACAGGCAAAGGGAAGTTCTCAGAGTCACAAGAAGTGGTCAGTGGCCAGGCTGAGGCCAGACTGTAGTTTCCTTTTTACTACTGGTCATACTCTGTGCTTTCTACCAATATTTCCCAATTACTATGGGGAATTAATAAAAAATGTTTTTTAATCTGCATTTTTTGGGGGAAAGATAAAAATACAGAGTTTGTCACAACATAGGTGGTCAATAAATATTTGGTGAAGAAGGTGTTTGATAAAGTTGCATATATTTACCTCTTGAGTCAATAAAAATGCGTTATATTTGCAGATAGACACACACACACACACACACACACACACACACACACACACGGTGCTATGTAGTAGCTGGTAACCACATGTGTGCTGTCAGTCCATACAGGGACTTGATTGTCATGTATCCCAGTCTTTGTGGCTCTGTTCAAAGGAAGAAGCTCTGGGGAGGAGTAACAGAGAATTTTAGGAGACAGAGAAAATAGACTTCTTTTCAATGGAAACTTATCAGAATTGTTGAAGTGAGAAAGCCATACACATCTCTATGTGTATTTTGGTATCAGTGTAGTATTGTCTGCAGTAACTCTTTGTTTAGTCATGAAATATGTTACTTGCCATTCCACATGTACCCAATACAGTGTTAAAAAGAGTCCTGTTCAGCTAGGATAAATCACAGAACAAGTATAGTAAGAACATCACCAAGTAATTATACAGTATGTCTTTGAGATTTGTGTCTCCAAGTTTCTGAATATTTCATTTTGAAAGAGTAACTTAGAAAACGTAAAGAGAAGTTCCACAGAAGTGCCTGGGAGAGCTGATCTTTACCAAATTCAGTAAAAATTTCAGAGGTGAATAAAATAAACCTGGACAATTCATAATAACCTACAGAAGACACATCGTTTTCATTGTTTTCCATTGGCTAACATATCCGGTAGGAAGTTAAATTTCACTGTCTTTTGCATAGCACAGAATTTGTTTTCCTAATCACCTTTCCTACATATTGAACAACGTCTCGGTCATAATCATGGCATATGCTGCATTGAACCCAAGGTGAAAATCATTCTTTTTTTTCTCACCTGAGGGAAATTTCACTTTTTTTACTGAATGAAGGAAGCACTTAAAGTATAAATTAAAATAAAGATAACTACTATTAAATTTGGTTAGGCTCATATAAAAAAAAATAGTAAAATGGCAGTCAAAACAACCTGACTCAAGTTTGTGACAGAAAGGCTTAATTTAGCACAGCCCATTTATGTACGCAAGAAGCTTTTCTTAAGGACACTCAAAGATGTCAGCTCCAGTCCTAAAGGAAACACACTTGAACCGAGCGTGAGATGAATGAAGGGATTCTGCTCTTGTCTTTTATAGATGATTTCATTTATTTGATTCTTCTCTTTCCTCCTACATTCTCAGATTAGGCATGGCCTTCAATTGGATTTTGTATTCGTTAAATACAAACAGTACACATATTAGACTGGATACATATTTGCAAATTTGGATTTATATAATCTATTTTAAAATTATGAGACTAACGATATATTTTATTGCACATGCCTGTGGTGTCCGAGTCTGGGATCTGCTTTAATTCTCAATAACATTCAAATAAAACCATTGCAAAGAGCAGAGCTAGCAATAAGGACATTTACAATGTCACATGAAGGTGGACTGTATGCCACATGCCTTATAATCATATATTCAATGATTGCAAATAGGATTTTTATAGAAAGTGCTCACAGCAGTTAAAAGAATTATATCTGAAGTCATATTTCTGAATGTGAGACTTTCATTTTGTTTAATTATCTATTGAATGCTCCCAAACTTACTAGGACTTAGTGTGTGCTTTTATTCTATGTTAGAGAAAATCTTGGTAGTCAATCTCAAGTGTATGCCCCGTCTTATGACTGCGAGATTCCCTCTCTCATTCTGGTATTGTCCTGTGATATTTGCTGCTTTCTGCAATCAATATAGACAGACTTGAGCCAACTTAAATGTTGTCTCAATATTTACCTAGTACAAAGAAAATTCCATTTGAGAAAACCACAGAGTATAGTCATTCCTGGAACAACCAGGAGATGGTTATTATCATTGGAAACAATTATTTTTAAAAATCAATCTCAATTCAGAGCCATATGTGTATTTAAAGTGCCCACACATCTAAAACTGTTTTCAATTAATTTCATGAAATGTTATTTTTTCATTTAAAACAAACCAAAGATGATTAATTTTTATATAACCAAAGATGATTAACTTTCATATAAATTTGTGAATCATAACAAATTCTTGAGCAAACCATGTGTCTTGCTTTCTTTTTATATTGGCATGGTATAAATACTGAGAATCAAAGCAACCATAATTAAAAAGGCCTGGTCTGAAGAGGAACCGTAAAGTAGGTAAGGTTTGTGTTCTGCTTTCTTCTATCTCCTCCTAGCTCCCATTCAAGTTATTTCTTCCGGCTTTCCTCTCTGGCAAGGTACAAATGCTCCTGCCTCTGCCTCGCCCCTTCACACTGTAATATTGGTTAAAGAACTTGGCAATGAACCAGCGTAATCAAATTCCTCTGGCTAGACTTCTCTGGCAGTAGAGCATTTAAGTGTTCTGCTCCAAATACTTTCCAACAATCAGAACCAAGACACCTGTGTGGGAGCCAGTGCCACAGGTAAGTCCCTGTTAGTGACAGTGGCCTTGCAGTGATGCTTTGGGAAATTATCCTGGCTTCAATGAGTAGGACAGAGAGGAGTGGCTACCCAGCCCATGCAAAGCCAAGCAAGGGGCTGTAGTCAAAGAGTCAAAGGCAAGAGTCATTGTTCTTCCCTGTGAGCTTATATAACAGAGTGTGTGTTCATTTCTCACACATATAGTTTTATCTCGCAGCTACTTGAAGGGTTCACATGTCTGTTTGCTGACTTGATTGTGAAATTCCTGAGGGTAGGAATTATGTCTCATGCCCAGCACCAAGGAGGAGTGCAGTAAATGGGTGAGGAATGAATGAGTGAATGAATCAGTCTGTCAGGCAGTCTGTTAATGCAGATGGCAACAATGAAAGTATGGATTCGAATGGCATCTTTGAAAATTGCAAGAAATGGATGGATGTGGAAAACTGAGAGAGAAAACTAAGAGAAAAGCAAGAGAGATCAAGGCATCAAAGCCTCCGAGGCTTTGAGCTGAGCAAAACGAAGAGCCTGGGAAGCAGTCGTAGAAAGGGGGAACTCAGTGAGAAACCTCATGAGGGAAGCCAACACATAAACAGTTTGTCACAATCTCTTTCTCAAAGAAGCATCCTCTAAAAGGTGCCTGTGTTTCTAGCCTCCCACGTCCCCTCCCCTTACCACACCTCACCCAAGTTCCTGGAGGTCTGATAAGCAGCCAAGACTATTTTGTAGACTTAGCAGATGTCCATGTTTTAAGGGACATTTCCATCAACGCTTGAAGGTTGCCATCCTTTGTAGACTTGGGAGGAAAGGTGGATGGGAGGGAGATAGGAAATCTGAGCTGGTGCCTTGAGGAGACGCTTTGGCCTCCTGGAAGAGGGTACTTGTTGGCTGGGATTAGCCCCTCAGGCCATGGCTTCTTTCAGAGGCACTAAGTTTACATCAGAGAGGACATACTTTTATAGTCTGCATTGTCAGTGCTGCGCCCTCAACCACTGCTGCAGATAGCCTCTTACTTTATAAGTAAATAATCTCTCAGGGAAGAGATTCACCTCATTTCACACATAGCCATCCTTTGTAATACGAGGGCTGCTTGCACTCTTCTTGGCCTCTGGAGCTTCAAACATGTCTCATTCCCACATCCTTCAGAAGGGCCAAAGAGGGACCTACCTGGCTGAGTGGTATGGAAGCTAGGAGGGAAACACCCTGGTACGTGCTCTTTAAAGTCTGTGAGTTACAGAGAGAATATGATAAATAATTCATTTTCTATTTTAAGCCCCTCTTTCTCCAAAGTTTTGGAATGAGCTCTGTAAATTTCCCAAGAACTTCTCTGAAAGTTCTACCAGCTGACCGAATGCGGAAATACCTGCTGTGTGCTTCCTGGAGATTTTCCCCACTGTCTGTTTTATGACCTGGTGAATTAGGCTGCAGTCTTGTCTTGATCCAGAAGTGGTGCCCCTTGGATCAGAAGGAATGTCTGAAACACATTGATTTGTGGCTGGAATAGTAAGCTAAGCTCTAGGAACATCCTGCCAGAGGCTTGTCCTTAGGAAATAGTCTCACAAATTTTTTTGCTGGTGAAGAGATGACATGCTGCAATTGACCTGTTGAAGGCCAGAAAACCGAGGTGACAAAGCAAACCTCTCAGTTTCTAATGCTTCCTTCAGGCTATGCTTTCTAGGGGTGATACCCTCTATATCCTGAGAGACCTTAGCTGCACAAGACATTAAAACTTGGTCCTCAAAATGAGTGATACCAGCCTCTGGAACATAATTGCGACCAAAATGTGTCCTGGGGTCACCAGCCTCCTTCTACCCTTCCCTCTAAAATCCAAATAAAAACATTAAGCCCTACTGCACTGGCCTGCCCTGTTGAGTGCTTTTGCAGATTGCCTGGGGTTATTTATGTCCTCCTGCCTCCTCCAGCTCTAAATTCTGGCTTCAAGACCCTCCTCCATCACCCCTCTGTCAACACTCCCTGGGTTGTTAACATGTCCACAATACTGATCGCCTTACCTCCCTCTTTTCCCAGGGTCTCCTAAACAGTACAATGCCTTTCAAAAGAAATAATGGAGAGGAAACTATTAAAATTGAATTTCCACATTGCAGTTTTGACAGTTTATCAGTGATTCATCACCATAATCTCTTACTCTCCATCCTTGCCCTGTGAATAGATTCATACCTGGAAGCAGCCGTCTCTTTAGAAAAGCTTCTATCCTTTCCTGGTTTTTCCTGAGTGCCTGGTCCTCCCAAAACTCCTATCTTTTTTGTCCTGACTCAGAGGAACCCTCACTTCCCCCACCCCCACCCCCCAACGCACACATTTCCTTCATAACAACACCCTAGAGTGAGATCCTTTTACTTTCCGTTTTACTTCCCGGTTCCTGAGGGCATTACTTTTCATAAGAAAATTCATCAAAGTGTTTTCCTAAAGAGTTGTTCTCCCTCTAAAGTTGAATTTCATCCTCCAACCCAATATGGAAACAGCTATTGCCAGGTATATGTCCACAGCAATCTTTCCTTCTTGCTACATAATCACAGTTATTTTAATGATTATTTGATTTTCTACAGAATGTAGCGTAGCTCTGATGCTGTTAGGGTCTTGATGAAGGCATTAGAAACAATGCTTATGCTCAGAGCACTTGTGTGTGCTTGGACGTTGTGTGAATGTGAGCAAAGTTGTACTTCAGTGAAGGTGCCCAACCAACACTGAGACACATAACCAGGAAAACAAGGCTGCAGCTGATGGTCAGAGTAGCCACGGGTTAGGCATGAGTAGCCATGGGTTACGCATAAGCATCCACACCACCAGCTTGGGCAGCTGTCACCTGCCATTGTTTATCCACAGGGCCAGCTAGAAAAGGATTTCTGGTAGGCATCTCTATCAACAACACAGGTGAACATAGGGAAAACGCTAAATGAGAATTATGATCAACTAGAAATAAAAGGAAAATCAGTCCTCCCTGTATTTCCCATACAGCTGCCCCATCGGTCCTGCCATCAGCACCACATGAGGCGTATATGGAAGATGGTTTATTGTTACCTTTTTATTAGGCTGCTTCTAGAAAATTCAGCAAGTACCCACAGTCCTACCACCTAATCCATAACCCCTGGTCAACATTTTGGTATATTTCCTTCTAATTTTGTTTTCATGCACCTCTTGTTTGTTCTGCAAAAAGTACAGACGTTGTCTTTTTTTTTTTTTTGCTTCTACAAAGTACTGTTACAGTAGCTCCAACAACCAGTGAAAACAAAATTTGTTCTAATAGAAAAATGAGCAGCAGCTCAATAAAAACAGTTCACTAAACAGTTGATCTACACTTACAGCCAGAAAACAAAATGTAAAAGTTTTACCTCACCAGTAATCAAAGAAATGTAATTTAAAATAATGATTCCATTTTTCATCTACAGTTAAAAATATAAAAACAATAATATCTGCTTCCGATGAGGAAGTAGTGACATAATCGCCCTCATAGAAGGCCGTGTTGAGTGTAAATCTCCAAGTTTGTGTTTTGTCAACACGAATCAGCCTGGAAGTGCCCATACCCTTGATCTGGTAATTCTGCTTCTTAACAATCTGTGCTAAGAGATTTATCTGAGAAAGGTTCAAAGATGTCTGCATTCTTCTTTATTAGACTGAAAATTTGGAAGCAACCTGAATGTTACCTATTGAGAAACAAATACATTATAGTTTATTCATCTGGACAAGGAACTATTTTGCAGGTATTTAAAACATCTTAAAGAATAGCTGTGCACCTTTGAAAAAAAAAGTTCACAATATAACAATGGGCTTAAAGGGTAAAGAGAAGAATATGTGACCTAGTTCACATTTTATAAATATTCATGTTATGTCCATGAGGGAGAGCGGGACAGCAGATCCAGTTTTCACAATGGTTATCCATGGCTCACAGGACTACAGGTGATTTTTACTTTCTTTATGCCTTCCCGTAGTTCCCAAATTATTTTCAATGAGTATTTCATTTGTGTACAGGGGGAAAAAGTTACTTAAAAAACGGAAAAAGAAGAAAATCACTCCTTTGCAGCAGCTTATGAAGCATTTTAACAACGAAAGGTGGGGAAATCCCCAAGATAGACAAGCCCTTTCTTCCCCTCTGACTTTGGCTGATCCATCTGCTGACAAACTGCTGACTGTATTCTCAAGAGATCGAAGAAATAAAACAGGCTCTAGCAAGGCCTTTGTTGAAGTCTTCTCAGCTTCCTTAGAGCTGTTGCTTCTCCCCCTCCCTTCCTTCTCTGGATCCCTCCCTCTTTTGGTGCTTTTCCTGAGGCTGGTGGCTACATTTGTTTGGTGCTTGAAGTCATTCTTTCATCAATAATTTGTAAAGTGATTTAGAGCTTTCTAACAGCAACCTACAGTTTGCTCTAATAAACTAACGTGGTAAAGAGTCGGAATTCAGGCTGCTGGGTGACAGACCAGCATGCCATTTTACTCTGCCCTGGTCAGCATGTGGTTTTGGTTCTGCTAAAAGGACACTTCCGACTCTACCTCCATTTGTTTAGCATTTCTACTCTCAGTGAACTTTTAGTAACTGAATGCCCAAAGGAGGAGACTACAAAAAGCAAATTATAGTACATCACCTTGATGGAATATTACCTAGCTGTTAAAAATGACAATAACTAGGTTGCAGCATCAAAAAGTATTACCAAAGAAAAACAGGAAACAAATTAATATCTATATATAGTTACAACAATGTAAAAATATACATTTGTATTGGAAGGAAATAGAGGAAGCAGGGAAAAAGAAAATTTAATGGCAGATGAGAAATTTTTTAAATTCGGCAATAAATATTGAAATTTCATCATATACCAGACACTATGCAAGACCCTTGTATTTTTTTAAGGTAGTTTAATAATAAGTTGTAAAGAAGTATAAAGTAGGGGTGGTGGAATTCATTTGCAAAGATGTTATTATGGGCAGCCTGGCTCTATCCGAAGGGAACACTGAATGTGTCATTCTTTTCCACACTGAATTTATGTAAAACGTCCTGTGCTGGACTCCAGTTGGTCTGTTCAGTCCTTAGTGAGCAGATGGGGCTTTTCCCCCTTGCCTTGCATGTCATTCTTTTATCCATGCACTCAATAGGTACGGAGCCCTGCTGTCAGCCAGGTCCTGTTCAGCTGCAGCTGATACATAGGGACCAGGATGACAAGGCTCTGCCCTCATGGAGCTTCCAGGCATTGCGAAAGACAGACACTAAACTAAATAAGTGAATAAGTTCATCTGCAGTGTGATTTCAAGTAGTGACACCCGCAGTGAAGAAAAGTAAAGGAGTGTGTGGGGCAGAGAGTGAAGTGAAAAGCAGTAACTCATTTTAAGGAGAGTCAGGGAAGACTCCTGAGAAAGCAGGGAAGTAAGGGACCATGGAAAGGCTGGGGACATAGCGGGAACAGCACGTGCAAAGGCACTGAGGCAGAACCGAGTTTGACATGGCTGTGGGAAGAAACGTGTTCAGAGAGGGAAGCAGGGGCTGGGACATGTAGGGCTGTGTGGGCCTCAGCCTGGGGTCTAAGTGAGATGGAGGGTTTTAAGGGGTGGGACAGATTTACTCATTTAGCATGTGATCTGACTTATTGAGAGAATGGACTGTCAGAGAAGAGGGTAGCAGAGGGCTGTTAGAGGCTTTCAGCCGTCTGGGTGGCCTGGACTGGGAGGGCGGGCACAGGAATGGAGAGAGTCAGGGTCACTCTGAAGGCAGAATGCACAGGGCATGCTCTGTAGGGTGTGAGGAAAAGCCAGGAGACAAGGACACATCCTGGGTTTGGGACTAAGTGAGCAGGTGAATAGTGATGTCATTTTCTGGGAGGAAGAAGGAATAGGTTTTATTATTCCTGGGTGAACATTTGCCTAGCTTTGATTCCAGTGTGCTAAGTTAGTCTGGGAGCTGCTCCTCACTCCCAGAATTCCCTGGCTGTCTCTTCAGGGCAGGAAAAGGATTTCTAGGGATACAGGAGAGACCACCAGCCTAGGAGCTGGGAAACGTGAGTCTGGTCCACCTCTGCTACAAAAGAGCAGTGTTTTTTTGTTTTTGTTTTTTTCTTTTTTTTTTTCTTTTACTTTAAGTTCCGGGATTCATGTGCAGAACTGCAAGTTATTTACATAGGTATACATGTGCCATGGTGGTTTGCTGCACCCGTCAACCCGTCATCTAGGTTTTAAGCCCCGGAGGCATTAGATATTTGTCCTAATGCTCTCCCTCCCCTTGCCCTCTACCTCTCGACAGGCCCCGGTATGTGATGTTCCCCTTCCTGTGTCCATGTGTTCTCATTCTTCAATTCCCACTTATGAGTGAGAACATGTGGTATTTGGTTTTCTGTTCTTGTGTTAGTTTGCTGAGAATGATGGTTTCCAGCTTCATCTGTGTTGCTGCAGAAGACATGAACTCATTCTTTTTTATGGCTGCATAGTATTCCATGGTGTATATGTGCCACATTTTCTTTTTCCAGTCTATCACTGATGGGCATTTGGGTTGGTTCCAAGCCTTTGCTCAAAATAGCAGTTTTATAGAGAGATTATAACTTTCCCCCTCAGAACGCGGTTTCTTGTATACCTGCCCGGCTTGCCTTTCAGAGCTTTGTCAACCGCTTAAAGCCTAATTCAGGTGAATAACGGTGTCATCATTGTTACCTGCATTCCTGTGCATGAGCAGTCACAGCCTGGGTCCTCAGAGGACCATCCCCGATGTGCCAGCTGTGTTCATAATAAACCCCACTGACACGTCCCCGGCCCCTCACCTGGTTCTGCCGCACGCCCATCACCTGCCCAGCCCTGCGCACTAGTATGCAAAACTACAGCTGAGAAAGAGTCCCTTCAAGAGTGAGACCAAGGGATGATGTCCTTATGAATCCCTGAGTATCCAGAAAATTAAACTGGCATGTCATTCTCTGAGGATTTCTGCCAACTAAGGTGATTCGCTTGTTTTCATGATCACTGCCCTCCTATGTTAGCAAATGCTGCGCTTTATTTCCAAGAGCTATTTCCATCACCCTTACCCTAGAGTAAGCCAGCTGTATAAACAAAAAGCTGCAACAAGGAGCTAGCTTCACCCTCCAAGCACTGCTTAGTGCTTCCAGTCAGGAAGCTTCTTTCTCTCTCTTAAATACCATCTCAAAAATCCCAGTACCTGTCACCTAAAGGAGACATCTTACACATTGAGTGGAGAGGTGGAATGGATGTTGAAAGGACAATTTAGGGAGCTAATCTCAGCCATCAGATGTTTTTCTTGCTAACAGGAGCCGAATTCTATTATGTTTGTGAAAGGACTCTATTAAGACAGGTTTCTGTCACTCCCAGCACTCTATTTAAGCTTCTGAAGTCATTCAGATTGCCCATTCACCAGCCAGGGAAGAATTTGTGTGCCTTCCCCCTTAGCAATCAAGGAAAAAAGATTAAGTGGAGCCGGAGAGCAATTTTCTTTATAATTTCTCTTCTTGAAGTAAAGAAACTCAGAACCCTTGACCCTAAACACCGTGGAACCCATGGAGGCTCATGATATCAGTGTGTGGGGTTGTCACTTGGAGGCAGGAGGCTCTTCACAGCCAGCCCAAGAAGCAGCAGAGGCAGCCGCAAGCAGAATGGAAGCAAAAGGGGAGGGTTCCTATCATTTGGGGCCAGAACCAATCAATAGTTTCCTCACATCTGCCATTTCAAGGAAGAATTTTTTTCCCTTGTACGTATAGTTGCTTTTTCATAAAGGATTCATTATTTTTGAGCCAGGTACAGGAACTAAGATCCCCCCTTGGTTTCCTCTGGGTCTCTTCACACTAAAGTATTGAAAAGATTTAGGTGGGGAGATCCAATGGCTGGCTTCAGAACTGCCCTGTCCAGTCCTTCCAACCCATCCTAAATCGTGGCCACGGAGGTGAGCAGTTAGGCCTCTTTGCAACACCCTGCAAGTCACTATTGCACCAGGGTGGCTTTAGTCCTGAGGTGACTGGCCCACTGTGTGACTGCAGTGAATGAGGGGTGTCCTCAGGACCTGGCCTACTCTGCTGCACAGTGTAGGCAGAACTTGGATTGGGGAGCAATTTAAGCCAGAGTGACTCTGGGCTGGAGAAGGCATTTTAAATTCTACCTGGAGTAGATAAAGCGTACGAGGTTTTTGCTTTAGGCCTAGGGGGCTGGACGCTGGGGTAAGGGGAACATGCTATACCCTCTCTTGGACCAGCTACCATAGGCCTCACCCAGGACCAGAGCTGAGGCCGCACTCAAGGGCTTCCTAGAAGAGGCCCATATTGGGCCCCTTCCTATTCAAGTCTAGTTGCTTGACAATATTTCCTCCAATTTTAAGGTGAGAAAACTCTCCTTGTATTAGCAAAAATGAAGACTGTAATTTTTAAATGATGTTATTTAGATTGAATAACTTTAGAATACTCTTCCCACAAGACCACTCGGAGGATATTCAGATCACTTCTGCTGCCTCAGGATTCCCACGTGAAGGGTGAAAATGATGCCGGAGCTGAATTTACAGCTCCCAGAAGCACGCCCAAGAAAGACTGGTGGATGATGAGATTTCATCTGTTTCCCCTGCATTTCTTAGCACAGTGCCTGGGCCATAGTGAGTGCTCAATAGATGTCTGCAGAAGTCATGCAGGTTTGATATTGTGGATGATAACAGTCTTTCTTTCTATGAACTTTTTTTAATTATTATTATACTTTAAGTTTTAGGGTACATGTGCACAACATGCAGGTTTGTTACATATGTATACATGTGCCATGTTGGTGTGCTGCACCCATTAACTCGTCATTTAACATTAGGTATATCTCCTAATGCTCTCCCCCCCCGCTGCCCACACCACGCAACAGGCCCCAGTGTGTGATGTTCCCCTTCCTGTGTCCATGTGTTCTCATTGTTCAATTCCCACCTATGAGTGAGAACATGTGGTGTTCGGTTTTTTGTCCTTGCTATAGTTTGCTAAGAATGATGGTTTCCAGCTTCATCCATGTCCCTACAAAGAACATGAACTCGTCCTTTTTTATGGCTGCATAGTATTCCATGGTATATATGTGCCACATTTTCTTAATCCAGTCTTTCATTGTTGGACATTTGGGTTGGTTCCAAGTCTTTGCTATTGTGAATAGTGCCACAATAAACATACATGTGCATGTGTCTTTATAACAGCATGTTTTATAATCCTTTGGGTATATACCCAGTAATGGGATGGCTGGGTCAAATGGTATTTCAGTTCTAGATCCCTGAGGAATTGCCACACTGACTTCCACAATGGTTGAACTAGTTTACAGTCCCACCAATAGTGTGAAAGTGTTCCTATTTCTCCACATCCTCTCCAGCACCTGTTGTTTCCTGACTTTTTAATGATCGCTATTCTAACTGGTGTGAGATGGTATCTCATTGTGGTTTTGATTTGCATTTCTCTGATGGCCAGTGATGATGAGCATTTTTTCATGTGTCTGTTGGCTGCATAGATGTCTTCTTTTGAGAAGTATCTGTTCATATCCTTTGCCCACTTTTTGATGGGGTTGTTTTTTTCTTGTAAATTTGTTTGAGTTCATTGTAGATTCTGGGTATTAGCCCTTTGTCAGATAAGTAGATTGCAAAAATTTTCTCCCATTTTGTAGGTTGCCTGTTCATTCTGATGGTAGTTTCTTTTGCTGTGCAGAAGCTCTTTAGTTTAATTAGATCCCATTTGTCAATTTTGGCTTTTGTTGCCATTGCTTTTGGTGTTTTAGACACGAAGTCCTTGCCCATGCCTATGCCCTGAATGGTATTGCCTAGGTTTTCTTCTAGGGTTTTTATGGTTTTAGGTCTAACATTTAAGTCTTTAATCCATCTCGCATTAATTTTTGTATAAGGTGTAAGAAAGGGATCCAGTTTCAGCTTTCTACATATGGCTAGCCAGTTTTCCCAGCACCATTTATTAAATAGGGAATCCTTTCCCCATTGCTTGTTTTTCTCAGGTTTGTCAAAGATCAGATAGTTGTAGATATGCGGCATTATTTCTGAGGGCTCTGTTCTGCTCCATTGGTCTATATCTCTGTTTTGGTACCAATACCATGCTGTTTTGGTTACTGTAGCCTTGCAGTATAGTTTGAAGTCAGGTAGGGTGATACCTCCAGCTTTGTTCTTTTGGTTTAGGATTGACTTGGCAATGTGGGCTCTTTTTTGGTTCCATATGAACTTTAAAGTAGTTTTTTTCCAATTCTGTGAAGAAAGTCATTGGTAACTTGATGGGTATGGCATTGAATCTGTAAATTACCTTGGGCAGTATGGCCATTTTCATGATATTGATTCTTCCTACCCATGAGTGTGGAATGTTCTTCCATTTGTTTGTATCCTCTTTTATTTCTTTGAGCAGTGGTTTGTAGTTCTCCTTGAAGAGGTCCTTCACGTCCCTTGTAAGTTGGATTCCTAGGTATTTTATTCTCTTTGAAGCAATTGTGAATGGGAGTTCACTCATGATTTGGCTCTCTGTTTGTCTGTTATTGGTGCATAAGAATACTTGTGATTTTTGCACATTGATTTTGTATCCTGAGACTTTGCTGAAGTTGCCTATCAGCTTAAGGAGATTTTGGGCTGAGACGATGGGATTTTCTAGATATACAATCATGTCATCTGCAAACAGGGACAATTTGACTTCCTCTTTTCCTAATTGAATACACTTTATTTCCTTCTCCTGCCTGATTGCCCTGGCCAGAACTTCCAACACTGTGTTGAATAGGAGTGGTGGGAGAGGGCATCCCTGTCTTGTGCCAGTTTTCAAAGGGAATGCTTCCAGTTTTTGCCCATTCAGTATGAAATTGGCTGTGGGTTCGTCATACATAACTCTTATTATCTTGAGATACGTCCCATCAATACCTAATTTATTGAGAGTTTTTAGCATGAAGTGTTGTTGAATTTTGTCAAAGGCCTTTTCTGCATCTATTGAGATAATCGTGTGGTTTTTGTCTTTGGTTCTGTTTATATGCTGGATTACGTTTATCGATTTGCGTATGTTGAAGCAGCCTTGCATCCCAGGGATGAAGCCCACTTGATCATGGTGGATAAGCTTTTTGATGTGCTGCTGGATTTGGTTTGCCAGTATATTATTGAGGATTTTTGCATTGATGTTCATGAGGGATATTGGTCTAAAATTCTCTTTTTTTGTTGTGTCTCTGCCAGGCTTTGGTATCAGGATGATGCTGGCCTCATAAAATGAGTTAGGGAGGATTCCCCCTTTTTCTATTGATTGGAATAGTTTCAACAGGAATGGTACCAGCTCCTCCTTGTATGTCTGGTAGAATTCGGCTGTGAATCCATCTGGTCCTGGACTTTTTTTGGTTGGTAAGCTATTAATTATTGCCTCAATTTCAGAGCCTGTTATTGGTCTATTCAGAGATTCAACTTCTTCCTGGTTTAGTCTTGGGAGGGTGTATGTGTCGAGGAATTTATCCATTGCTTCTAGATTTTCTAGTTTATTTGCATAGAGGTGTTTATAGTATTCTCTGATGGTAGTTTGTATTTCTGTGGGATCAGTGGTGATATCCCCTTTATCATTTTTTATTGTGTCTATTTGATTCTTCTCTCTTTTCTTCTTTATTAGTCTTGCTAGCAGTCTCTCAATTTTGTTGATCTTTTCAAAAAACCAGCTCCTGGGTTCATTGATTTTTTGAAGGGTTTTTTGTGTCTCTATTTCCTTGAGTTCTGCTCTGATCTTAGTTATTTCTTGCCTTCTAGCTTTTGAATGTGTTTGCTCTTGCTTCTCTAGTTCTTTTAATTGTGATGTTAGGGTGTCAATTTTAGATCTTTCCTGCTTTCTCTTGTGGGCATTTAGTGCTATAAATTTCCCTCTACACACTGCTTTGAATGCGTCCCAGAGATTCTGGTATGTTGTGTCTTTGTTCTCGTTGGTTTCAAAGAACATCTTTATTTCTGCCTTCATTTCGTTATGTCCCCAGTAGTCATTCAGGAGCAGGTTGTTCAGTTTCCATGTAGTTGAGCGGTTTTGAGTGAGTTTCTTAATCCTGAGTTCTAGTTTGATTGCACTGTGGTCTGAGAAACAGTTTGTTATAATTTCTGTTCTTTTACATTTGCTGAGGAGTGCTTTACTTCCAAGTATGTGGTCAATTTTGGAATAGGTGTGGTGTGGTGCTGAAAAAAATGTATATTCTGTTGATTTGGGGTGGTGAGTTCTGTAGATGTCTATTAGGTCCGCTTGGTGCAGAGCTGAGTTCAGTTCCTGGATATGCTTGTTAACTTCCTGTCTCGTTGATCTGTCTAATGTTGACCGTGGGGTGTTAAAGTCTCCCATTATTATTGTGTGGGAGTCTAAGTCTCTTTGTAGGTCTCTAAGGACTTGCTTTATGAATCTGGGTGCTCCTGTATTGGGTGCATATATATTTAGGATAGTTAGCTCTTCTTGTTGAATTGATCCCTTTACCATTATGTAATGGCCTTCTTTGTCTCTTTTGATCTTGTTGGTTTAAAGTCTGTTTTATCCAAGACTAGGATTGCAACCTCTGCCTTTTTTTATTTTCCATGTGCTTGGTAGATCTTCCTTCATCCCTTTATTTTGAGCCTATGTGTGTCTCTGCACGTGAGATGGTTTCCTGAATACAGCACACTGATGGGTCTTGACTTTTTATCCAATTTGCCAGTCTGTGTCTTTTAATTGGAGCATTTAGTCCATTTACATTTAAGGTTAATATTGTTATGTGTGAATTTGATCCTGTCATTATGATGTTAGCTGGTTATTGTGCTCGTTAGTTGATGCCGTTTCTTCCTAGCCTCGATGGTCTTTACAATTTGGCATGATTTTGCAGTGGCTAGTACTGGTTGTTCCTTTGCATGTTTAGTGCTTCCTTCAGGAGCTCTTTTAGGGCAGGCCTGGTGGTGACAAAATCTCTCAGCATTTGCTTGTCTGTAAAGGATTTTATTTCTCCTTCACTTATGAAGCTTAGTTTGGCTGGATATGAAATTCTGGGTTGAAAATTCTTTTCTTTAAGAATGTTGAATATTGGCCCCCACTCTCTTCTGGCTTGTAGAGTTTCTGCCGAGAGATCCGCTGTTAGTCTGATGGGCTTCCCTTTGTGGGTAACCCGACCTTTCTCTCTGGCTGCCCTTAACATTTTTTCCTTCATTTCAACTTTGGTGAATCTGACAATTACGTGTCTTGGAGTTGCTCTTCTCGAGGAGTATCTTTGTGACATTCTCTGTATTTCCTGAATTTGAATGTTGGCCTCCCTTGCTAGATTGGAGAAGTTCTCCTGGATAATATCCTGCGGAGTGTTTTCCAACTTGGTTCCATTCTCCCCATCACTTTCAAGTACACCAATCAGACATAGATTTGGTCTTTTCACATAGTCCCATATTTCTTGGAGGCCTTGTTCATTTATTTTTATTCTTTTTTCTCTAAACTTCTCTTCTCGCTTCATTTCGTTCATTTGATCTTCCATCACTGATACCCTTTCTTCCATTTGATCGAATCGGCTACCGAGGCTTGTGCATTCATCACATAGTTCTCGTGCCGTGGTTTTCAGGTCCTTTAAGGACTTCCCTGCATTGGTTATTCCAGTTAGCCATTCATCTAATTTTTTTTCAAGGTTTTTAGCTTATTTGCAATGGGTTCAAACTTCCTCCTTTAGCTCGGAGTAGTTTGATCGTCTGAAGCCTTCTTCTCTCAACTCGTCAAAGTCATTCTCCATTCAGCTTTGTTCCATTGCTGGTGAGGAGCTGCGTTCCTTTGGAGGAGGAGAGGTGCTCTGATTTTTAGAGTTTCCAGTTTTGCTGCTCTGTTTTTTCCCCATCTTTGTGGTTTTATCTACCCTTGGTCTTTGATGATGGTGACGTACAGATGGGGTTTTGGTGTGGATGTCCTTTCTGTTCATTAGTTTTCCTTCTAACAGTCAGGACCCTCAGCTATAGGTCTGTTGGAGTTTGCTGGAGGTCCACTCCAGACCGTGTTTGCCTGGGTATCAGCAGTGGAGGCTGCAGAACAGCGGATACTGGTGAACAGCAAATGTTGCTGCCTGATCGTTCCTCTGGAAGTTTTGTCTCAGAGGAGTACCCGGCCGTGTGAGGTGTCAGTCTGCCCCTACTGGGGGATGCCTCCCAGTTAGGCTACTCAGGGGTCAGGGACCCACTTGAGGAGGCAGTCTGCCTGTTCTCAGATCTCCAGCTGCGTGCTGGGAGAACCACTGCTCTCTTCAAAGCTGTCAGACAGGGACATTTAAGTCTGCAGAGGTTTCTGCTGCCTTTTGTTTGGCTATGCATGCCCCCAGAGGTAGAGTCTACAGAGGCAGGCAGACCTCCTTGAGCTGCAGTGGGCTCCACCCAGTTCGAGCTTCCTGGCCGCTTTGTTTACCTACTCACACCTTGTCAATGGCAGGTGCCCCTCCCCTAGCCTCGCTGCCACCTTGCAGTTTGATCTCAGACTGCTGTGCTAGCAATGAGCGAGGCTCCGTGGGCGTAGGACCCTCCGAGCCAGGCGCGGGATATAATCTCCTGGTGTGCTGTTTGCTAAGACCACTGGAAAAGCACAGTATTAGGGTGGGAGTGACCCGATTTTCCAGGTGCCATCTGTCACCCCTTTCTTTGACTAGGAAAGGGAATTCCCTGACCCCTTGTGCTTCCCGGGTGAGGCGATACCTTCCGCTGCTTCGGCTCATGCTCGGTGCGCTGCACCCACTGTTCTGCACCCACTGTCCGACACTGCCCAGTGAGATGAACCCGGTACCTCAGTTGGAAATGCAGAAATCACCCGTCTTCTGCATCACTCATGCTGGGAGCTGCAGACTGGAGCTGTTCCTATTCGGCCATCTTGGCTCCACCCCCCTTCTATGAATTTCTTAGGCTGTTTAAAATTTATCTCAACCTCAGCTGCCAAAGTAATAACTAGCCCTTTTTGTATCTTTTGGCAAACCATATATTCACTGCTTTGGCCTGGGGTTCCCTTTCCCGTCCATCAAAACATTGGCTAAGTACTCACTCTGCACCACACACTGGGCTGGGCACTGTGAAGTCATGCTCAGAACTGACTTTGATAATAGGATTTTTGAAAACTAGATTGAAGGAAAATAGATAGGCAAAAGCTAATGGGCTTAAAAAATATACTGCTTAATGGTTAAAAATCTTAATCTGTTTATGTTAAACAATGTTAGCAGAGGAATATGAAATTATTTCTATAATGTATAAAAATCGATAATAGATGCTGGTGTGAAAATACATGTAATGACGAATGTATTGAATTTGTAACCTGTGAACATGTGGGATATGATGTGTGTGCGTCACTATTTTTATATCCTTGTATGTTGGTCAAGATATTTAAAAGGTGTCAGAAAGGCCAAATCAGGGGTGCTGTCACCAAGCCCACCAAGTTGCTGCCAACCCTCCCAAGCTTCAGAGGTAATACTCTGGCTCTTTATCCCACCTCCTTTTTTTCTCCCCACCAGAAATGAGGATCCTTATAGATTCAGGTTAGTCAATACCATATTTCCCTTCCCCATCCCGTTGTTTTGTGTTAGACTTTGTATTAGAGAATTTGTATTTCATCTGTTTTGCAAAACAAATATTAACAATAAGTTATTATTGTACTCTTCTGGCATAGTAACATCCTGTTAGTTTACTTTACACATAGCAAATCCAGCCTGACATTCATCTTTAATGATCTCAGGATAAATGGTTTTAAGGTTAAACAGCCACAGAGACAACTGTCACACGTTGTCAGCTGGAACAGATGAAAGAGAAAAATGTGGCATCTGAAAAGCAACTTGCAAAATGATCTAAATATTTTACTTTATTTTCAGAAAACCCTCACCAGATCTGCCCCCTCACCACTAATCCTGGAGCAGCCTGATGACTTATGGGGAATCCATTGCTTAGCTTTGATGTAGGGAGGGAGAGATGAACGACTGCCTCCCAAAGCGTGGCTGCTGAGCAGGATATTAATGGGCAAGGCGGCTAATGCGTTTGCATTGTTCTGCAGAAGTTTTGCACTGCTTTGGGGAATCATTTATCCTTAGCAGTTGCAAGGTGGCCTGTTTTCAAGTAAACCTAGAGTAAAAATCTGGTTATCTATTGCCATGTAACAAACTGCCTCAAAACTTTGTGACATAAAGCACTGATTTTATTGTGCTCACGTGTCCTTGTCTCCATTCTGTGATGCTGGGGCCTTGTCTGGGAAGACTCGAAGACTGGGAGTGACTGCTTGGCTAGGCTGGGATGAGGCATCTTTACTTACACATCTGGCACTGGACGCTGGCTGGCTGCTGGGACTTGCTGGGGTGATGGCTGGAGAACATTTCACCTCTCCAAGCGGCCTGGCCTTCCTTACTGCAGTGTCTTCTGAATTGTTAGCTTCCTTATATGGTAGCAAGTGTGCAAGTCAGCAGGTGGAAGCTCCGCTATCTTTGTCACCTAGCCTCAGAAGTCACATAGCATCATTTCCACCGCCCTCTACTAGCGGGAGCAGTCATAAAAGCCCACCCATTTTCAAGGCAAGAGGTCATAGCCTGCGCCTCTCAAAGGGAGGATTGTCAAAGCCGCACTGGAAGATCATGTAAGTTGGATGATAGCATTGCTGCTGTATTTGAGAGATTGTGCTGTGCTCTATGTAGAGGTTTCTGTAGGAAATAAACAAGTTGAGTTCTCTGGTGAAAACACATCTGAAAACATGTTAATAGGAATATAGCTAATCCTTAGCATTTCTTATAGTAGCTAAGGTCAGTGTATGCTAGGCCTGGTACCTGAGCAGCAGTCTTGATGCTAAGTTAACAACAGGTAGCCAACAGGAGTGTTTTCTAGCTATTTGGAAATTGAAATTCAACCAAAAAAGCTACTGCCACTCTGAATCAGTTACATCATGATACCTTAGATCTAGGCTACCTTTTTTCCTGAATAATAGAAGGTTACATTGATTAGAAATTATGGGGAAAGTAGATTCCTTCATATAAGAATTGGTTAAAGTTTGACTCTGTTCTCTGTTAAAGTAAGCAGCTTTTTAAATAATTGAGTTCTTTGGAGGAGTTTTTATATTTTATATATTTTTTACCTATTTAGCCATGATAAATAGAATCAGATAAGAGACCGAGTGTGAATATTCAGCACGACCTTCAACCAGGTGTATATATTTCTCTCTATGTTCTAAAGGACTCAGCAATGTGTAGTGCCTATGAGTTCTCATTTGAAAAAGGAGGAATCCTATATGGAATGCCATGTAACGGCCAGGTGCAGTGGCTCATACCTATAATCCCAGCCCTTTGGAGGCCTAGGCAGGAGGATTGCTTCAGGCCGGGAGTTTGAGATCAGCCTGGCAACATAGTGAGAACCCCCCACACCTCTACAAAAAAAAAAAAAATTAGCCAAACTTGCTGGCACGCACCTGTAGTCCTGGCCATTGGGGAGGCTAAGGTGTGAGGATCGTTTGAGCCCTGGAAGAGTTCGAGGCCGCAGTGAGCTATGCTCACACTATTGCACTACAGCCTGGGTGATAGAGCAAGACCCCATCTCTAAAAGAAAAAAACAGATATATATAAATGCCATGTAAGCTTTTACACTTGTATTTCTTGTCTCAATTCTGGTTTTTTCTTGAGCAATTTCTTCTTTTCATTCTCATGAAAGTTAAGGTGATGACGCTGTGCTTACCCACAAACTGTGTATCCACGTAGCCTTCACTGCCATTTGTCCTGAGCCTTTTCAAGAAGCATAAATCCCAGAATGATCGAAACATCTCTTAGATCCCAGAGTGACTTAAGATCCATGCTAGGAATTAATCCTGCTTCCTAGGAAGTTACACAACAGCAGCATTTGTGGCAGTGCCACAGCAAGCCAGGGACTGGCCCACGGGCGGTACGCTGTCATTCCCAGTGCTTTCTCTGCCTTCCAGAGAAACAGGAATTTGCCACATGTCTGTGACTCATTTGCTGGAGCTGTTAAGTGGTGATGGTGTTTAAAATCTCAGGGAAGTAAAGCCACCATTTACTGAACACTTCCTGTGTGCCGTGCACTCAGTTGTAACCACATTATTTTACTTGGTCTTGACGAGAAGCCTTTAAAGGCACTTTTATTATCCCAATTTTACAGATGAGGAAATTGAAGTTCTGGGAGGATGAGTAACTTGTAGAAGGTCACACCATATATAAGTAATGGACCCAGCCTCTCCAACTACTCTCAGCTGATTATAGAGATTAAATTAGAAGCAGTTCTTCCTTTCTTGGAAAAGTAAACCTAATGGGGAACTCAGAAGCCATAAAGGAAAAGAGTGATTAATTTAGCCACGTAAACATTTAAGGCTTCTGCTCAACAAACCGCACCAAAAAATTGGATCAGGAATGTATAACAAACTAGTGGGTGGGGAAGGAGACTGCCAGGCTGTGATAAAAGGCCAATTTTTTAAAACATAACAAAAAACTCTTCAACAGTCGGTGAGCACGAGACATACAGACTGCTGTGAACATGGGACAGGATGCTCAGCCTCACTCATGATTAGAGAAATACAAATTATTTGCTGCAAATGACATTTTCAGCTGTAGGTTTGACAAAGATTTTAGAAGTGGATAATGTTCAGTGCTGTCAAGCGTGCAGGACAACAGGTACCCTCCATCTACATTGTCTGTGGACATGCAAATCGGTACAACTCTATATTAAAACTGAAAATACACACTCTTTGACTCAGCATTTATTTATTCCACAAATATTTTAATATAGGTATTCAAAGATACGGGTACTGCAATATTCATTGCAATGCCAGAAACTTCATCAATAGAAGACTGATTAAATAAATTGTAGAATGTTTGTACTAGCAAACACTAGTAGCCATTATTATTTTTTATTTGAATCTTGTTTTATATTTTAGCACTTTATACAGCTTGTCTCATTAAGTATCACCCAGCTAAGATTTTTTTTATAGGGCATGGCACATATATTTTGTTTTGTTTCCTTATATTTTTGCTCTGGATCTCATGTGTAGCCAGTAGAGATATGAAATTAAATATTCCACAATAGGTATGGCCCCTCAAGTAGCCATTATAAAGTATTCTATACACCATTAAGTAAAGAAAACAAAGATGTATTGAAAGAACTAAGGTATAAAATATTCTATAAATTATTCCATTTTTTGTTTGTATGAACATGTAAACCTTTGTGCATAGGAAATATCTATAAAGATAGAAAGGAAATCATTAACAATTATCTACTGAGGACTGGAATTGAGGGTATTATCTACTTTGCAGTTCATATGCATACAATTTAAATTTTTTACTATGAACATACATCATTTTTATAATAAAATGCTCATTTCTAAAAATACAATGTGGAAGACATTCATTTATTAGGGCCCTGTTTGCAAGAAGCAGCATAAGTAAATCATCCCATGTTGACAGATAAAACTTATCCAACCATGGAGAACAGATATCAGTGACTTAATAAGCAGTAAAGATAATAAAAGTTTTAGCAAAACCAGCTAGAACCTCTTGGGAGTGAGTTTCTCTAGCTAGGTGAGTTCTTCAGCCTAGCAGAAATAGGAGAAAATAGTTTTTTTGGAAAGATACTTTCTGAAGTCTTATCCAATTCCATGTATACGTTAATACCTTTTTTTTTTCTATTTACAAAGTGACACATTGATTGTCAAAATTTGGAAAATACCGGTAAGCTCACATGGGCTTTATTTTTAACAGGCTACAAATTTAAATACAGATAACAATTGCAAGATTATGTCTAAGCAAAGAGAGCAAATTGATGGCCGAACTGATGATTGATTAGAATGACTTTTGTCTTTTTAAAATTGAGTTATATAAGAGGTGAAGGAAACAGACCGATGGCTGGAGAATTTGACAACGTATAAGAGAATCTGAGAATTCCTTTGAAAAACGCTCAGATTTCCAGCCAAGATAGAGTCACATCCACCATTGAAGGGAATCTTAAGCCATCATTGCATAAAACTTTGGAGATGAAAGACTTCTAACTCCTTCATTTTACAAAGAAAAAATTGGGCTCTAATTTTTTCATTAATTCAATTTAAAAATAATGAGTATCCAATGCAATACTCTTTCCACTTCCTGACCCTGTCTGATGCAAGAAGAATATTTTTCTAGGACATTCCTCATTATTGACTTGAGAAATAAGTATGGCTTTCAACAAACAAAGGCAAAATCATGAGATATAACTAAAATTGATGATTCACCTTTGAAGTAGTTTCAGGTCATTGTTTTAATACCTTGTTCACACAGAACCTGTTTTGCATTCATTTGCAGACTTCAAATATCTCATTTCAGGGTAAAGTTTAGCTGAGTGGCATTAGAGCCCTGTGAACTCTCCTTGGTTGGGCATGAAGTGAGAGGTCTGAAAAGAATATCAAGCTAAATCCTCAACTTAAAAGCAACACTTGTTTTTTTAATTTAAAAAAAAATCCAATATTATTTCAATTTTCTTCGCAGCAGATTGTGTCATGCTCTTTAGTTAGAACTCAATGTAGAAAATGCAGCATGGGTTGAAGTAGACAGCAGAAGTGAAAGCCAAATAATGATGTCTGATTCTCGCTCGCTGTGATATGGGAGGACAAGGGAAGAAAAGATAAAGCACCACAGCCAGCAGCACTGATTTAGGAAATATCTTACTCACAAGGTTTATTAGACTCTTCTTGCACTGCTATAAAGAAATACCTGAGACTAAATAATTTATAAAGACAGAGGTTTAGTTGGCTGTTAGTTCTGCAGGCTGTACAGGAAGTATCATGCTGGCATATGCTCAGCTTCTAGGGAGGCCTCGGGAAGCTCACAATCATGGTGGAAGGCCGAGGGGCTGCAGGCACGTCACATGGCGAAAGCAGGAGCAAGTGAGAGAGAGTAGGGGGAGGGAGGTGCCACACGCACCAGAATTCATGAGAACTCACTGCGCCATGACGGATCCACCCCTAGGATCCAAACACCTCCCACCAGGCCCCACCTCCAGCATTGGGGATTATAACTCAGCATGAGATTTGGGCAGGGACAAGTATCCAAACCATATCACAAGGAAAGCTTCCGGAGCTGAGGCAACCCTTCTAACATGTGAGGTCTTGCCAAGTTTCACCAGTGGTCCTGGAGGTTAGGTGAGTTATTAGGATCAAGATCTTCAAGCAATGTCCCCCATATAAATGGAATCTGGGCAGTTCTCCAGCAGGCTCACCAGGCCTCATATCACCTCTGCCAGGCTCCTGGACCTGGCCCACAGGGTGTGGGTCCGGCTGATTAGTGTATCAGTCAGGATCGCCCAGGCTTGTGTTGCAGTAACAAATCACCTGAGAATCTCTGTGAACTCACCCAACAGAAGTGTGTTTCTCACTCTGGCCATGTGTGGGTGGGGTGCCCTCTGCATCATTCTCACACACAGAGCTGGTCTGTGGGGGATCTTCTCTCTCGGTTGTTCCTGGGGCTGCTGGGCTGCAGGGAACCAAGCCACACCACCTGCGTGTCCTGCCAACTGCTAAGGGGCGGGCACAGGCAATTCCCCCATGTGCCTGGAAGCAGAGGGAAGGCACTGTGCTGTGCAGGTAACTCAGACTGCTGGGAAGGGCTGTATATCAAAGTAGACTACAGTTCACAGGGTCTTTGGGATCCTGGTAGGGCCTTTTACAAGCCCACCCCATAGCAACAGCCCCCTGTAGAGTGGCATTGAATGTGATAGGGTTACTTCTCCACAGGGAGCCTGCTACCAGGAATCATTCAGACTTCTCAAGCCCTTCTCTTGTTCTCTCTCATTAACTTCTTTAATGGTCTCCTTCCTCATTCCTTCCCCTTTAAGTCTACTTCTGCTAAGGGATGCTTGATTCCTCTTTGCACAGTTCAGCTTTGGTTACATCATTTCCTCACACAGAAATGTTTGGAGGTTTCCCTTTCTCTACAGTTTTGCAACTCAAACTTGTCCATAGACCAGCAGTATCAACATCAGCTGGGGTCTTGCTAAAATGCAGCCTCTCAGGCCCCACCCCAGACCTGCAGAATCAGGGTCTGGATCTTAACAGGATCACAGGAGATTTTTTTTTTTTTTTGAGGTGGCGTCTCACTCTGTCGTCCAGGCTGGAGTGCAGTGGCGCGATCTCGGCTCACTGCAACCTCCGCCTGCTGGGTTCAAGCAATTCTCCTGCCTCAGCCTCCCAAGTAACTGGGACTACAGGCACACACCACCATGCCTGGCTAAGTTTTTGTATTTTTAGTAGAGATGAGGTTTCACCATGCTGGCCAGGCTGGTCGAGATTTCATACATTAAAGTTTGAAAAGCACTTATGCCTAGTACTGGGTCTCAAATTTGGCAGCACAGTTGAATTATCTGGAAGGCTTCAAAAACTGCCAATTCCCAGTTTCCAGGTCTGGACTGGGGCCTTGCACCGAGATCTTTTAAAGCTCTCAGGTGACTATCATGGGTGAGAATTTGAGAACTCTGGAGTTTAGGAACTCAGGGGACACTCCCAACCACCTATAGTGTGGCTCCCAAACCTTCCCTGTGCCATCTTTCACTCTAACTATATCGACTGACCTCCAGTCCCCGAACGCTCTATGCTTTTATATAATGTGTTTTAGACTATTAGCAGAAGTCACCAGGCATTGTACATGCTGCCTTCTCATGACTGGAGAGGGCCTAGGATGACTGCATCTAAATTTTTCATTGAAAATGCCACGGCTACAAGTCACGGAGACATAAATACATGCATTCACTCAATTGTACATTTAGTTTTCCTTATTAGTAAAATGTAAGGCTTGATTCATCCAGATGACAGCTTACTGTGGTACTATGTATCTTTTTTTGTTTTAGTCTTATTGAACGTCAAAAATATGATGGGGAATTGGAAGAATATGCTTGTTTCATTGAGTTAACTTTGGGAGTTATAAACTGAGGAGCTTTTAAAAATATATATATCTCAGTAGCAGTGGCAATTTCTTTTTTTTTTTTGAGATGAAGTCTTGCGCTGTCACCCAGGCTGGAGTGCAATGGCACAGTCTCAGCTCACTGCGACCTCCACCTCCCGGGTTCTCCTGCCTCAGCCTCCCAAGTAGCTGGGAATACAGGTGCGCACCACCATGTCCAGCTGATTTTTGTATTTTTAGTAGAGACGGGGTTTCACCATGTTGGCCAGGCTGGTCTCGAACTCCGGACTTTGTGATGCACCCGCCTCGGCCTCCCAAAGTGCTGGGATTACAGGCGTGGCCACAACTGCTTTTCATTACTCTCACTGCTTCACCTCCACCTGTGATCAGTGACACACGTTTGAGAGACACCTGGCTTTGGAGACAGAAATCAGGATCCTTGACCTCTTTATTACCTTTCCTAATGGAATGAGGTTGCACACGTGGGCCGCGCTCTGCTGCACACCAGCAGTTCAGAGAGTCCTGTCGTTTGGGGGAGCACTCCTCTGTCACTACAGCACCTATTGTTGTAAAACCTTACCCACTATTTTTTCCAAACGACCTCAGATAAATACTTTACTTGATGTTTTTATTCGCGCAAGGTGTTAATTTCTAACAAGACTTTTATGAGCACAGCAAGCAGCAGTTGCTTTTTCATGTGAACATTAAATAAGACTCAAGGTATGAAAAGCCTGCTGCAAAGGGTCCAGAAGGATCTATGGGATTTGGTGGGCTGCAGCAGACAAATGGCCTGCCAGTCTGTGACAAGTGTGCAGTCACCGTGGGCGCCAGCCTTGGGAGGCACAGGATCCGCTAAGTCGTCGGGATTACCGGGCTCTGCCCCTAGCAGCCCCCGGAGAGTTAGGGCCCCGTGTGCACATCTCTGCAAAGGCTGTTGGTCAAACACATGAAAAGCCGGTGTTAGTGGTGTCTGCCTGAGCCACCGTAAATCACCTCTCCCTCTGGGCTGCCACTGCACCTTGTCTGTGCACAGTCTGGAGGCGTGGGGCGTGTGTCATTGGGGGAAGCATGCAGTTCAGGGTCCTGTTATGTCCATATGAATGTGAACGTGAAAGCATTTCCTGGCGCCTCTGTGCTGGGCTATTATTGGGACCAAGGACTCACACACAACAGTGACATCATCCAGGCGCAGAATAGATTGTACTGAAACGTCAGAAGCCAGATACCAGGTTCTCTCTCACAAACAGTTGTTTTAAGTGCCAATATCAAGGCTTGACAGTGTTAGTGCTGGCAGGACTTTTGTTTTTCATTATCCCCATCTTCATCCCTAAACGAACAGTAGCAATGCAGAGAAATAGTCATTAGAATGAACTAAATTAAAATCAGGAAGCAGTTAACTTTATGTCGACTCTAAGATAATGTTAGTAAATAAAAAGGCTAATTGGAATTCTCAGTATTCTAATAAGAACTTTTTATTAGTAGGTTATTTGTGCTTTAATGGGCTGCTCGTGGCATGTGGTTGAGTCGTGATGCTTTTCATTACTCATTTTTATTAACATATACGGTAAATATTAAAATAGATCTCGGCAGCAATAACATAGGTAGAAAATGATGGGTGGCTTGTCAGATACAAAATACAGCAGCATACTTACAGATGTGTTCTCATGATTTTCAAATTTATGTTGGCTATTTTTTAACTTTGTCAAGCCTTTCTCTGACTTCTGCTTTATTGTACTGCTGTTCTTGACATTCCTCCCTTTCCCAACCAGATGGAAACTTTGGTGTAGCTTATAGAAGGTGTCCCAAAAGCTAGGACTTTGACAGCCAATGATATGTATCTTTTTTAAATATTTCATTCAGAGTAAGCAAATGAGCAACAGCAAGGGAAAAACACATTTTAGTATTTTTCTCCCTGTTAGACATTGCTTGGTGCTTTTTAACTAGGATACCAGAAAGCGAAGTATTTCAAAGTGTTCCTTTAGCAAACTATATATGCTCAACCAGATTTCTAGTAGCATTTTTCTTCAGTGTTTAAAAAAGTGAACTTTTAACTTTTACTTTCTATTCTTCTTATCCTTCTGTAAGTGATATGTGTACTTTTGGCCCTGTTTAGAACAGATAAAATATAACTTTAATTTTTCTTGGATAATTAAAATGTTTTTCTAATGGGTTGTAATCCATAATGTTTCTAGAATTTGGTGGAAAGTCAATTCACTAATTTAATGGATTAGTGTAGGTCAGTTCTTACTGTAAACTTTAAAAGGTATAAGAGCTCCAGGCTAGATTGGAACTTGTCCCTAAGTCATAGTTGGGGAGTTTTTGTTTTATTTTGTAAAAACACTCATCTCACGTTTCCTAAAAATGAAATAAGGCAGCAAAATAATACTCATCCAAGGATTCTGGTTACTTGGGTTTTATAGCTAACTAGGATTTTATTTTGGTTTTCCTTTCCCTTTCATGCCCCCAAACATTTAGGACTAAGAGAATGAGGAGGGAGGCCCAGGCTGGAGGGCTCCTGGACAGGGTCTTGGGGGGACTTATCTTTCCTGTACCCCCTGGGATGTCACTGTGTTCACCCTTGGGGACACCAAGAAATTTCATATGAAGGGACTTTGGTGGAACTCCCACAGGCCCTGCTTTGGTTTTGTGGATATCGGCTTTTCAGTGTTACGGGATCCTTCTGCTTCAAAGTAAAACTAGGTCTGAAATTTTCAAGCTCAAAAACTTCCATAGGTAAAACTTTTAATGGAAACAAATTACTTTTTTTAAAATTGAAACATTTGTCAAAAGCAAATATAGCTGCCAAGCCTGTGGATTATACATTTTGGTTCCAAAGAGTGATGAACCTCTGGTAGCCACAGGGATGGGAGATTTTCACACTGTTGTGATTCTGAAGTCACCAACTTAACAACTGGAACCAAGCACAATCCACGCTGTTCAGTGCCTTCTGACTGTCTGCTTACTCTCCGCTGGGTGCTGAAAAGCCCAGCCCACCTGTTGCTTAAGACCCAGTACATTATTTTAGAAAATAAGGTTTGTGGGTCCCTAGTGGTCTCTGTGGGCTAACTAGTGGGTCTGCTGGCAGCTTGGTAATTTTAGAGGAATATGAAATATAAGATCAATTGTGATTTTTGCAGCTATCCCATTGTATTCTTAGTAACACTTTATAGCAGATATACATTTTATCCCACAACTCTGGGTGTGAGAAATGTTGCCACCTTCTATTTGTCTAAATTTGATTTCATCTACTTCACACTACCTCTTCCTCCCTCTACCCACACACAGACCAGATTTGGGGAAGGCCTTGGGAACATTTGGGAAAACGCCCTCTCAACCTACCATCTTGGCCTGAGAGTCTCTTCAAGGCAGACAGCTCCTCTGCTTCCGTGCAAAGGTGGACACAGGGGCTTTTCACTAGGGCCCCAGAAGCTCCAGCTCTTGCTGTTCAGTCCGTCCTGTATCCCAGAGCTCTCCCACAGAGGCCCTGCCACCCTTGGAAAAGGCTGTGCAGGCCTGGGTTCCTGGCTTCTCCTTCTCTTAGGATCCTCCAACCTCTTGCCTTCCCGGCTTGTGCCTCCTAAACTGTCCCGATCTAGCTGTTTCTCCTCCCTCTCTGAGCTCCTTCCTCCCTCTTCCTCCTTCCTCTGCCGCCTCCTCCCTTTAGTGAGCTTTAGAAACATAATGCTGGGTTCTCCTTCCTACAGCAGTGGAGATGGGGTCAGATGCCAACGCTGGTCAGCTTAGTTTTCATGATGATGGTCTTAGTCCATGCTGGCTGCTGTAACAAACCACCATAGACTGGGACAACAGAAACTTATTCCTCACAGTTCTGGAAGCTGGGAAGGCCAAGGTCAAGGCACCAGCAGATTTGGTGTCTGTGAGGGCCCACCTCTTGGCTCATAGATGGTTGTCTTCTTGCTGCATCTTTACATGTCACAGGGGCAAGGGAGCTCTCCAGGGCCCCTTTATAAAGACACCAATCCCTTCATAAGGGCTCTGCCCTCCTGACCTAATCACTTCCCAAAGGCCCCACCTCCTCAGACCATCATCTTGGGGGTTAGGATTTTAACATGAATTTGGAGGGAACATAAACACTCACTTCAGAGTAATGATAAAGTATATTGCCCATATGCTACAAGGACTGTCTTGGTCACTTTTCAGCTGACATTTAAGTAAAAGAGTATAATTCTCTGCAACTATGTTTTGTCTCATTCACGTGTCAATATATACATATGCTAGATTTCCCTTTGCAACAATGGTTGGATCAGTTCAAAGTGGTTCATTGACGTCCAAAAAAAGTGAAAATAATGCGTAAATCCTAGAACTCAAGACATACGCAAGAGGTAATAATTAAGCTTCTACTGTGCCTGTGGATTGTGAATCTACAAGAGTCATGATTTTATAAAAGCAGCCCCAAAAGGAAAATACAAATAGGAAATATAATAAGGAACATCTGAAGATTCGAACTTATTTGCACTGCAGAGGCACTGAACTCTGGCCTTTGGTAGTTGTCTGTTAACGGAATTCTGTTAAATAGTTTCCTCATTTGTAAATGCAGATGATAATAGAACTTGCTTCAGGGTGGTTGTGAGGCATAAATGAGGTAATACATGTGGCATGCTTGTGTACATGTTGATGTGCTGTCTGGGCTGTCATTATTATAGTTCTCAAAATTATTATTATTAATATAAAACACAGCCATCTCTCTAAGCCTATCAGGTTTTTCCAGAATGAATTAAAATAACAGTGCTTTGTTACGGAAATGCTACATTTGGTCATTCAAGATGGAGAAATGGCCAAAATTGTGGCAGTACCATGAATAGTTGTAAAAGTTGGTCCAAGTTACAATCTGACCAAATAAGCCATAAAGTAAATAGAAAATATAGTTTGAATCATGAAATTGCCGTTTTTTAATAGTCCCAGGTAGCGAAATATTAGAAAATCCCCATGTTTCTTCTCGACTTCATGCTCAGAGGAAAAGCAGAGTGAGCTGCTGGCAAAATTCCTCTGCTAAGTGGCAGCGTGGAGGCCATGCGAAATGAGTTGCATGCGCCATGAAGAGCGATTGCGGTGTGCTGAAGCCACAGATCATGGCGCTTCACACAGGTGGGTTGAGAGTCTGAAGAGGCACTCAGTAACTGCCAGTAACTGGTTTCCTGTGCCTGCCTCCTTACCTCGATTCACCCTGAATTTGCTGTGCAGCCAGCCCCCTCGATGGCAGCCTTGACACCTGGCCGCTAAAGAGGGCACAGTGCTTCCGCATTCTCCCCACTGAAACCCAGGGGCCTCGCCTGTGGCTCACTGCCCTTTTGGTCCCATCATATTCCCAACGTTATTTCCTTTTGTTTGCCTATTTGCATAGTCTCTGCTCGAGCCATTTGGAATGTTCCCATTTCTTGAACACCTCCATGCACCCATCCCTCAGCTCGCGCCCCTGTGCCTCCCCATTCTCCACTTTTTGAGCTTATGCCCATCTTTCCTTGCCCATCTCCAGTGCAACCGCACACACAAAGCCACCCCTTCTTTTCCAGTTGCCTGCGCTCGCTGCCTCCTCTGAACCTCAATCTCACTTTGCCATTTTCTCCTCATTGGTGATCATTATCTTAGTCCTCTGTGTCCAGCAGTGACGTATTTGTTTTACTCCATCTGTTAGAGAAGCAGTCCCCAACGTTTTTGGCAGCAGGGACCAGTTTTGTGGAAGACCATTTTTCCATGGATGGGGTGGGTGGGGATGGTTTCAGGATGAAACTGCTCCACCTCAGATCATCAGGCATCAGATTCTCATAAGGAGCACACGAGCTAGATCCCTCGCCTGCGCAGTTGACAATAGGGTTCTCACTCCTATGAGAATCTAATACTGCCGCTGATGTGACAACAGGCAGAACTCAGGTGGTTATGCTCACTCACCCAACCCTCACTTCCTGCCACGCAGCCTGCTTCCTAGCCGGACACAAACGGGTACTGGTCCACAGCCCGGGGGTGGGGGACTCCTGTGTTAGACGACAGCTCTCTGAGGGCAGGGGCTGAGTCTTGATCACCATCATGATTCTCCCACATAGTATGCTCGTGGTCAGTAGTTCTAATCTTAAAGTTGGCCAGTGCTGTCCCCATTACTCTAGGGCCCCTTCCCATTCCATGGCAGCATTGCTGACTTCTTATGGACTGGAGGCTCACAGGGCCTGGCTGGTAGGTGCTACTTACCCTGCCTGGGAGTCCTGACAGTAGCCCAGGGAGGTTCTTTTAAACTCGTGGCTACATCGACTGTTGGGTTTCCTACAAGGAAGACCATATTTAGCTTTTGAAGGAGGCCTTCAGCTGCTACCCCAAGCAAGCCAGCTGCGAATCACTGGCCATGTTTTAACTTTCTGTGTTGTTGCTCCTTGTGTATGGACTGAGAAATGCATTCAGCAACTCCTCCTTCTGTTAATCCTATTGCTACATCTCCAGCCTTGAGATTTGCCAAATATTGCTGAATGAAACACTCAGAACAGCATTCAGACAAGGCTTTGTGAGACTTTGATGTGGTCTGAGAAATTTCGAGCTTTCCATCCGTTGATGGGGCTCCTGTTGTTTCCATGTCACAGTCAGCGGAGCTGTGATAGAGTCTGAGCAGCAGCAGCTCAGCTTTCTCCAGCGCGCCTTGATGAACCAAAATGTTTTGTTTTTGTTTTAGCAGAGGCACGATCAGCACAGAACCTGTAAGCACTTGCTTGCTCTCACTCACTTCTATTCTTCCATATGTGCTTTTCCTGCATTCTTTTATTAGAGACCTGTTGGATATCATCATCTTGTTGCCATATTTGCCGAAAGGAATGAATGTGTCTGTGCAGTTTCCTGTTGATCCCTGTCTGGAGTTAGCAGCATGGACCTACCCCAAGCCGAGCTGGCAATGAGGGTTTCACTCATAAAAACGACTCCTCGTTACCAGTTGAGGACCAACCATTATTCCAATATTACATGGATTTGAAAAACAGATTCAGCACCTGAGAATAAAGTGGTACCAGGGCCTTTCACAAGCCGCTAAGCATCTGAAAACCTTGGTGCTAGTTCAGGCTTCCCCACTTAGGAACACGTGGCCTAAGGGGAGGCGTAGACGGTTGCAACTGGATCAGAGATATTGTAGATAATTCCTTACAGCCCAGGCCCACAGACTTGCTCACAGTCACCCAGAATACTCTGGAGGAAAGCCAAAACTAGAGCTCAAGTCTGTATGGGTCTAGTTTAGGACTCCGGGCAGCATCAGGCTCCCTCTCATTTCACATTTTCCAACACTAGTATCCTTGTGAGTGGAGCATGAATAATACCTTTTCTGCCTCCCCAGGAGGGGAAGGGCAAATCTGAGCACACATGCCAGTCTACTTTGAAAATCCTGAAGCCCTACACTGCCAGTGTGGAGCAGCCACGTCCTTCCGTCCACGTGTCCATCCCCGGCGCACATCTCACAGAGCCCCATCTTGTCCCTGGGTAGCCTCGGGGCCCCAGACAGGATGAATCTCAGGCCCTGCCATCGGGGCCTCACAGTCCAAAACAGAAGGCCGGAGTTGAACAAGCAGCGGGGTGCCGCCGTGGGAGCCCGGGGAAGAAAGGCTTGGCTACTAATTCCTTATGGCTGTGGCAAATATCATGGAATCTTAGGGACTGCCTCACAGGGAAGGTGCCATTGGAATTGAACCTTGGAGAATAAGCAAGAATTCCCCCAGGTGGAACAGGTCAGAGGGGGCTACTGTGGGTAGGATGAAAACATGTGGGCCTCAAAGTCATGGTGTGGTTGTAGAACAGTGAACTGTCTGGGTGGTAGAAGGGCCGGGTAGCAGAGCTTTGTACAACATTGCCCTGGAGGTAATGATCAGTTATTGTAGAAAATAGCCCCTTAATTTTGTGAGAAATTTTCATTCCTTAGATTTGCCCGGGAGATGGGATTTCCTTATGGGTTGAACCTAAATCTTGCATTGGATGGATTTTTCTTTTTTCTTTGTTTTAGCATCATTTCACTCTCTTATCAGGATGTGAGATCCAAGGGGACCTGTCACTGGCCAGCTCACACATTACTCAGGAAGTCCTACATGATCAGTGAGCTCCAGTTTGTCCTGTGGTCCCCTAGGCTGTGGGAGTCCACAGCTATGGCCCCAGGCAGGTGTCCTGAAGGGAATCAGGTGAAAAGGGGGCTCAGTCATGGAAACTACTTCAGTTTCATCCAGCAGAGATCTGTAAGTGGCAACCAAGTGTAAAGCCTCTGGTCAAACCACTCAAAGCAGGCTTCCTGCTGAAGCTGAGCTCATGACAATCCCCCCAAATCCTTCTACACCCCCACACACCCTTCCCTCACTTTATGGTTTTTAGAGACAGGGTTTTGCTCTTTTGCCCAGGCTGGAGTACAGTGGCACTATCATAGCTCACTGTAGCTGTGACCTCCTGGGCTCAAGCCATCCTCCCACCTCAGCCTCCTGAGTAGCTGGGACTACAGGCATACACCACCACACCCAGCTAATTTTTAAATTATTTTTTGTAGAGACGGGACCTCACTATGTTGCCCAGGCTGGTCTTGAAATCCTAGCCTCAAGTGATCATCCTGCCTCAGCTTCCCAAATCAGAGACCCTTTCCCTTCTTAAAGATGAATATATTAATTAACTCTAAAGCCAGGGTTGCTGGCCCTCATCTGTCTTAATGGGACACTTCCTCCCTTGTCGTGAACAACAGTAAACAGGTCTTGAAGAAGCTCCATGTCTGAAACAAGGAGTTCCACGGTCATTTATGGTTGCTTCGCTAATTAGAAGTCTTTTTTAATGAGGAGAAACATTTTCATTTCTCGAAGGGCTTTGTTGCTTTGGGTGGGCCAGAAGGTGTGGTTGGTGGGAGGTGTGGAATGAGACTGAAGGTGGGGTTGAGGCCATAGATGCTGAGACTGGACCTTACCCTCAGGACAGTGGAGGCCTGGCAGGTGGGCCCGAGCAGAGGAGGGCAGTGCCTCTCCTTGGCACCTTTTCCATCCCAGCTGCACCTGCCCTCACAGCTGGTTGAAGGAGGACAGAGAATGTGGTCTCATTAACTCACTTGGTGATGGCTTTGTGGTTCTTACTGCAAACTACAGGTAAATCTGCCAGTTGGAGGAACTCTGATGTACACAGTGAGCTGCTTGAAGAAAATTTTCTTTGCACTCACCTTTGGAAAGTATTCTTTCCTTTAGTGTAAGGTTCCTGGATTTAAAAAAAAAATGGTTTGCACATCTTTAAAGCCTACCTCACTGTTTTAGAAGGAAAGTTTCTTAAGATCGGAAGACAATGACATTGAGACCAAGAAGAAAATTATGGTCCCCTGTTGATGTTCCAAGAGGGTGTGTGTGTGTGTGTGTGTGTGTGTGCGCATGCACGTGCATGTTGGGGGGGGTGGGGTTGTGTGTGTGTGTGTGCGCGCGCGCGTGTGTGTGTGTGAGATTCTGATGTAGTGGAGCTGAAGGAAAGATACTGAGCAGAGGCCCGGGGGCATTCCCAGCCCTATTCTCCACCTTCCACCCTTGTTAGCCAAGTGGGTTTTCAAGCTCTTGGTGAGTGCTCATATTAACCTGCACTTCTTAGCTTGCCCAGGATGAGGGGGATCTCCTGTGAAACTAATCGTTCTCCTGGGCTCTTGAGGCTACTTGTGCTGCCACGCATATCATTTCTATGGGCCATTTTCATTTAAAACCCGTGGTGGCTGCTGGCCAACGCAGACCCTTGTCTCCTGAGATGAGTGGTTGGGCCTGCCCAGCAGCCCTCCCTGCAGCCACCTTCTGATGGTCCTGGAGAGCAAGTAGGAAGGCCTTTGGCTTTCAGAGCCTCTCAGTCTAATGCATTCCCATTTTGCACCACCAGCAACCTCATATGTGATAGAGACAGATGAGCGCCGCTGTACAACGCAGCATGGTCCAAGCCACATCCCTCCCTTGGTCAGGAGATTCACTGTGGGTCACTGACTGTGATGAGACTACTTAGCATCCCAGGAAAGTCAGTCTCATTGCTAAATGGGACCCTTTGTGTAGTAAATGTTGGAGTCAATTAGAAGTTCTACTCAGGCCAAGATAGAGTCACAAGGACTGGATTTACCTTCCCATCTTAAACAACTAAAAACTAGGCAAAATAAGTGCAACAAGGGTTTTCAGACATTGGACATAGAGTAGTCCAGGACGGTGGTCGCTGAGAGGGACAGCGATGGAGGTGAGCCCTGCGGCTTCCCCCGCTCACTTCCCCGGGGGGCTTCCTAGGCCACAGCACGGGGAGGGGACCCCACACAAAGCCCAGGAGTCTCTCAATTCACAAGACAGAGATAGGAATCTGGGACGCGGAAGCATCTGTAATTCTCAAGGCAGAGTGCCAGACAGGCAAGAGCTGCCCAGAGAGAGGGCTCTGGATTTCCGGAGAGGATCCCCTGGTCCTCGGCTGGGCACTGATCGATATATGGGTGAGCATAGGGGCTCACGTGGCAACTGCGGAAAAAACTCCAGAAAGGACAGGCAGAAAAATCTCTGAGCTCATGTGCATCAGGGAATAGTTTGTGCTCCCAGCAGCCGCGGGAGGATGAACTTTGGGTATGATACTCAGAAGGGTATTACTTCAATGGTGGCGAACAAACAGCCCTGGACTGAAAGCTGCTAACAGCTTAAAAAGCAAGTCTACAAGTCTTCTTGGAGAAGTGATTGATTCTAGGACTGGGCCAGGAAATATATAAGCCAATAGTTAATGCAGTAATAATATAATACAAATATCTCATAATGCCAGAAAATAAGAAAGTGCTCCAAAAAGGCCACAATATTGGGGAATGGGGGAATGTCAAAGGGGAACAGGAGCCAACTGAAAGAGTTCCAACAGCCAGACTGGAACACGTAAGAAGCAAAATAAACAATAGAGTGCTGGATTATAACACAAAGTATAAAATAAAAATCCATCCGATTATACCAATATAAATGAATGCGGGATGGATGAATGAATGAATGAATGAATGAATGAAGAGAGAAATCTCCCATGCACAGGAATTCCAAGTAATTCATACTCTTCCCCCAACAAGGTGGAACATAACTCCCCACGCTTTAGTGTGGGCTGTACATAAAGGCTTCCTTCCAGAGAGAACGGGTTGGAAAGGGAGGAAAGAAAGTAACTTCACAGTGGAGGAAGCTGACGACCACTGCTTCCACCACGTGACCAAGGCCAACGTCAAGAGTGAAGCCAGGCTGACAGTATGTCCCCTAGCTCTGGTGTGATGAGAATGGTACTCAACCTCTGCGATCTTCCACAAAAAAGAATCCCATAACCCCGGTCTAATCACAAGGGGAAAAAATAAGACACATGTCAATAGAGGGCCATTATGCAACATTCCTGACCAATGCTCCTCAAAATAGTCAATGCCACCCAAACCAAGGGAAGTCTGAGAAGGTGTCACAGCCAAGAGAGCCTGAGGAGGCATGACAACTAAATGCAGTGTGGGATCCTGGACAGGAAGAGGACAGCAGGGGAAAAGTGAGGGAATCTGAATAAAGCGTGGATGCTGGTGAAAATAATGTAGTGACGTTGGTTCACTCCTTCTGACTAACATACTCGTGTACCAGGCTAATGTGTGATGTTAATATCAGGGGAACCTCAGTGGGGGAAATATGGGGACTCTGCAGTATCTTTCCAATTTTTCTGTAAATCTAAAGCTTCTAAAATAAAAAGTTTATTAAAAAGTAATTATATAAACTTAATTACATAATTAAAACAAAGGCAATAAATATTTTTTAAAGCGTTCACTTTACCAGATTATTTTAAATATTAAAAAAATACCAAGATGAAACAAAATACACAGCACAGCTGAAGTAGCTACCTCCCCCTTATTCTTTACCTCCTTCTCCTTTCCATCCTCACTATGACAGCCCTTCCTAATATCACAAGTGATGTTAGTGGCTCCATAGAGTAACATAATGAATTTAGATTGAAAAACCTGAGTTACTTCATTACAAAAATAAATCAGGCCACTCAGTGCCTTCAGCTTGAGCTATCCCTTGAGATAAGCAGTCAGCCTGTCCAGGACCCTTCTGGTTTCCAGGCCTCCCAGTCTCTTGCGAGTGGCAAGTGTCCATGAGGGAGTGGGTAGGTCTGGGTACCTGGCATGGACCTCCATGGCTTCTGCACCCACCTTTTAGAACCACCGTTTCCCCTACTGTTCACCTGCTGTTCACTTTCCATCTCCTCAGCAACTCGGAAATGTAGACAGTTCCTGTTTCTCATGTGAGACACACAGGGCTAGGAGAAGCGAATTCACTCCCCTACTTACAAAGCTGGAAAGCGGCAGAGCCAAGCTTCCAGCTAAGGCACGTCTGATCATAAAGCCTGCAGCCTTTCTGCTGCAGCACCTGCCTGTCTTCCAGCTCCCTCCCCACCTGTCCCAGTCCTTGCCGTCCTTGCTTTGTAATCCTGAACAGCTTGGCCTAGGGAGCTCCTGCACTCACACTGCCAAATCACTGCTCTGTAGCTGCTGTGGTCACACAGACACAGTCAGGCATGCACAGAGGAACCTGTTACGAATGCTTAGTCCTGGAGCTCACACAGTAGACACACCTAGCTGTATCTAAAATGGAGTGTACAAAAAGCGTACCTGTAGAACTTTCACTGTCACCGTTGTGATCCTTCCATCTGATAAGCTTTCTGGAAGTAAGAGAAAGAGCCATGTTACAATGTACAGTGTGTGCCCTACCTTATCCTGACCTTTGCCTCCAGTGTGCAGTCACAAACCTTTAATGGTCCTGGCAATTTGGCATTATGGTGGAGCTGCTGATTTGTGATTTTGTCTTTAAACTTTTACTCTCTTTAACTTGACCTGGAAATGGATACATTTGACAGGGAAGAAGGCAAGTTATACACAGTGTATGTCAGGTTACACTATGTACCTAGAGGTGGTAGCGTTTTGGTTGTAAAACATCAGTGTCAATGTTGTATCTGGGCAAAGTAATACAGTACCCAGTTCTATTTCAATTTCCAAACCAGGGGAATACAAAGAGCTTATGCAAGTCAATTGTAAAATCACTACTTATTTTGGCAAATGCTTAAAAATGTGTGAATTCTGGATATTATCACAGAAAAATGAAGTTTATTTCTGGCTCATTCTTTTGTAGGACAGACCTGCTCACCTTACAAAAGGAATAGAGGTCTGGAGACGTTGACGCTTAGGAAAATAAATTTAATTAACACCACCTTTATTTTTCACTATAAATGACAACCTCTTACTCTTGTAGCATAGCAAATGCAGGCACCCACAGAAATTCAGGACTCCGGATTGCTTTGCTAATCCTGGTGTGTCCATGGGCAGGTCTTGCATGTGAGTGAGCATTGCTCAAGGTGCAAAGAGCACCGCTAAGCAGCACCGCAGAGCTTTCAAAGGGGCTTTTGCATATTTGCACAGGCCATTGTTGCAGACAGGAGGGTGGCGCTTTGAGCAGGAGCCCCAGGATGATTCGGCCCAGGTGTAACACGGCCCCTCCCCAGCCAAGTGGCAGCCCCAGAGAACAGTGGAAAAGCATATTGCCGTCTTGCTCTACTGTGTTCTCCAAAGACATGAAATTTAGTCCATATGTTTAAATCTCTCTTTGGCTGATTGCCTTGTGCAGTTGATACATATAGTACAACAAAATAAAATTAAAAAATAAATCAGTTTGGAAGCAAACTTGAAGGGGAGAAAATGCTGCAGCCCTGTGCAGAGAGCACATGTGAGCATCTTAAACACGCCATTGTGTGTGTGTGTGAGTGCGCGTGTGTCGAGCTTTGCTTTCAGAGTGCCATTTATAAAATATTTATCATAGTTTCACTGATGAGGTTCAAAAAGAGCCTTTGTTATTGACAAGGAGCCAAAGCACTTTGCTAGTTTAGGAGGCCATCGTTGGGTTGCAAGAGTGAGGACCCAGGCAGAAGGCAATGTTGGGATCCAGGGGACAGTGGGCAGGTCTGGTAATGTCAGGAACAGCACACAGCTGCCTCCAGGTTGAGCCAGTCTTCTAATGGCATCGCCAATGGGAAGGGTCTGGAAGGACAATCCATGGGATTTATTATCCTTTGCTGTCCCCGCATGTATGGCCCTGGGGAGGAGGAGTCAGGCCCTCTAGCACAGAGTCCATGAATGTGGCTCAGTTGGTCTTCTTCTAGCTCTTGCTGCTACTCCTACATTTTCTTCTATAGCCTAAAATCACAGAGAAAACAAACTTATTAAGTCACAAAAAACAGAACCTTTTGAAGATAAGGAGCATCATAAAAACTAAAAAGGTTAGAGCCAACAAAGGAAGACTTTTGTGAGCCCCTACTAGGTTTCCTAATGACCGTGGTTTCTGAGGGAGATGCTGAAGAAATGGGCACTCCTGAAGGAGCTGACCCAAAGCAAGCAGATGAGAGTAATAAAACTTCACATCCGGCCAGGCGCGGTGGCTCATGCCTGTAATCCCAGCACTTTGGGAGGCCGAGGTGGGTGGATAACCTGAGGTCAGGAGTTCGAGACCAGTCTGGCTAACATGGTAAAACCCCATGTCTACTAAAAATACAAAAATTAGCTGGGTATGGTGATGGGCGCCTCTAATCCCAGCTGCTGAGGAGGCTGAGATGGGAGAATCGCTTGAACCCAGGAGGTAGAGGTTGCAGTGAGTGGAGATCGCGCCACTGCACTCCAGCCTGGGCAACAGAGCGAGATTTCATCTCAAAAATAAAAAATAAAAACAATTTGATGTCCAGTGAACATTTTACATGTGCAGGACACTCTTCTGTGTGCCTTAAATATATCAACTTCATTTAACTCGTGCACGCCCATATTACTATCCTCATGTTACATTTGAGGGAACTAGGGTTCAGACTGGTTAAATATCTTGCCCAGGGTCACACAGCTCATAATTTTGAGAGTGAGGATTTGATCCAGGGGGTCTGATGATAGAGCCTACACATTTAAAAACTTTCAACACATGGATTTCACCTGTACCCCTGCCCACACCCTCCCCAGCATGCGTTTTTCAAAGCATACAACTCACTGGCTTTTCGTATAGTCACAGAGTTGTGCGTTCGTCGCCACAGTTGATTTTAAAACGTTTTCATGACCCCGAAAGAAACCCAAGACCCCTCAGCAATCACCGCCCTTTCCCTGCCACTGCCCCCTGTCTCCTTGTTCCTGACACCACAGCCCCAGGAAACCCCTGATCTACTTGCTGTTTCTACAATTTACCTATTCTGGACATTTGTATATAAGGAATCATATAATATGTGGTCTCTTGTGTCTGGCTTCTTTTACTCAGCATAATGATGTCAAGGTTCATTCATATTATAGCATGTATCAATATGGCATTCCTTTTTATTGCAGCATAGTAGTTTATTGTATGAATATGCCATACTTATCCATTCATTATTTGATGGACAGTTGGACTGCTTTCACATTTTGGCTATTTATGATGCTGCTATGAACATTTATATGTGTTTTTCTGTAGATTAACTTTAATTTCTCTTGGGTGTATGCCTAGGAGTGCAGTTGCTGAGTTACACATGATAACTATGTTTAACCATTTAAGGAATTACCAAACTGTTTTCCAAAGTGGCCACACTGTTGTATATTTGTACTAGAGTGTATGAGGGTTCAAATTTCTCCACATCCTCACCAACACTTGTTATTATCTCTTTTTTATTATAGCCATCCTAGTGGCTACAAAGTGTTACCTCATTCTAATTTTGATTTGCATTTTTCCCTGATGGCCAGTAATATTGAGAGTTTTTCATGTGCTTATTTTTCCAGCTATTCTTTTGAAGCTAATTTGGGATGTCATTTCATCTATAAATACTCATATAGTATACCTATAACAGGATAAAGACACTTTTAAAGAACATAACTGCAATATTGCTATCACTACCTTAAAAAAGTCTCTAATTATTACATATAGAGTGCTCAGATTTTCTTGTTTTCCATGTTTGTCTCATACTTAAAAGAAAATTAATTGGTTTAATCTAGATCCAAACAAGGCCCACACTTACATTTGGTTAATATTTATCTTGGGGGTCTTGTTTTTTTTCCAGCTCAGGGGATCCCCCCTACCCATTCCCCTGAGCTTGAAAAACAAAACAAATCCCCAAAATGTTGTTCCTCTGCTCTCATTCCACAACAATCAACACAGAGGACTTCTGTGGCCAGATGTACAGGGATTTCTCCCCGCCAACAAGCAAGCAATCAGTTCTGCAGCAAACACCAGCAGGTGTCCTCCAATTCAGTTCTGACACTGTCTACCTGGAGGGCCCACAGGTTGAGGGCTCCATCTCACCAGACTGCTTCCACTTAAGATGACTTCACAAGCCTCAGCTGGCTGTAATTCAGGGAACCCACAACTCCCTCCTTGGGTTTGATTAATTTCCTAGAGCAGCTTACAGAACTCAGAAACATGTACCAACATCTACTGGCTTATTTTGAAGGATATAACAAAGGATACAGATGAAGAAGTGCAGAGGGCAAAATATGGGGGAGGGGGAATGGAGCTTCCATGCCCTCTCTGGGTACACTACCCTCCAGGAACCTCCACATGCTCAGCTATCTGGAGGCTCTCTATACACCGTTCTCCCAAAGCTTGTGTGGAGACTTCATTGGATAGGCATGTTGAAGCATGGACAACCAGGTAGATATGTGATTGGACAAAAAGGGTGTGATCTAATACTAATAGACTGAGTGGGGAACCCAGCAAGTCCTGTCTCTTCAGATTCTTCTTCGTCTCTCTGTGCAACATTCCTTCCCCCTGGGATGAGGCAGGGCCCCTTCAGAAATGGGGAACTTATAACCTACAGTCAGACAAGGTAGATAAGAGAAATGTGGGGGTAGATTAGAGTCCTGCCTTGGGGAGAAAAAGGAGCAGGGAAAAAGAAGGTAGAAGGTCAGAGAGAGATTCTGTTTTCTAAGGCCTGCATCTGAGACCTAAAGTGCCCCAATGTTGTAACAAAAGACTGTAACAAAGGTCGTGGGAGTTATGAGCCAGGAACCGTGGATAGAAACATAGATATGTATATGTGTGTGTGTGTGTGTGTGTGTGTGTGTGTGTGTGTGTCTATGTATATCTCTCTCACAACCCCCTCTCTAGCCATTCTGTTGTTTTTGAAGAAACTGGGTTGTTGGCCCTGTGCAGTTTCCCATGTTTGGAATTTTGCCAGTTGTATCCCCATGGTGTCATTTAACATGTTCTTCTATCCTCTGTATTGCCTGAAAACTAGTAGCTGAATCTAGAGGCTTGATCAGATTTAAGTTCATTTGGTTTGGGTTTTGGCAAGACTACTTCATGAGTGGTGTATCTACTTACTTCCATATATCTCTCCTTTCATGCTATTGAGATTGATCAATAGATTCAGGTGTTGTTAACTGAATATATTTAATTATAAAATTCCCACATCAGCTTTTTACATAATATATTCCACAGCCATTGATGAGCACTGCCTAAGTCCATTATCCATCAGGGAGCTGGCTTTCCTCATAACTCTAGTAAATGCCTCCTAAGAATGCAACAGTGCTTTTTCTACCATGCCCTAGTTCCCTCATATTGCAAAGGCATGAAAATGAGAAGGTATCAGCTATATATATATATATATATATATATATACAGAGTCTCACTCTGTCGCCCAGGCTGGAGTACAGTGGCGTGATCTCTGCTCACTGCAACCTCCATCTCCCAGGTTCAAGTGATTCTCAAACCTCAGCCTCCTGAGTAATGGGATTACAGGCGTGTGCCACCACGCCTGGCTAATTTTTGTATTTTTGGTAGAGATGAAGTTTCACCATGTTGGCCAGGCTGGTCTGGAACTCCTGACCTCAAGAGATCCACCTGCCTCAGCCTCCCAAAGTGCTGGGATTACAGGTGTGAGCCACCATGCCCGGCCAGTATCAGCTATTAAAGGGCCATTTTATTTTTGTATTAATTATGTAATAATTTACTTAACCCTTCCATGCTAGACTGAAAACTTCCCAAGGGCAGGCACTAGGTCTGTCTTGCTAGTTCTCAGTGCCCACCCACCCCCAACTGGGCCCATGGTGGGATCTTGCTAAGTAGTTGTTGAGTAAATGAATCAGGTACTTGTTACTGTATACCCTTTTTGAAGATTTCCTGTGATACAAGTGTTGGCGGCATTTTTGCTGATAGCTTTTCAACAACTTCCCTATTTTCAGACGATGCCACTGTTCAACAGTAAACCGGGTGAAACAGGCTGTAACTTACATATACACACAAGAGACATTTGAAATATCAAATTTAAGCCTGGCAATTCAGAATGCAAGCTCATTTTTTTTTTAAACCAAAGCCTCTTTTACCTAATTGAGCCAGAAAATATGTGGCCCTTTTCCCTCCCAATTTGCAGCTTCAGTTCTCCTTGACTGAGTAGCTAATGGAAGATGGGGCCTGTTCCTGCTCTGCTTGTGAAATCTGACTCTCAGCCCGAGGCTGTGTGGCTTCATATTTTGGATCTGAAAATAAAATGCTTTTATTTGATCCTGGCGTATTAAATTCAGGTTAGGTGTGTTGCAAAACAGGGAAATGTTATCTAGAATCTTCCTGCTAATACTGAATCTTTGGTTCTTCTGAGCCACTGTGTCTTACCAGTCTTCCTGTGGAAGATGGCGGGAATGTTTCTAATCCCACTTTGAGCCTGAGTGCTTGCACCTTATGCAGAACAAATCACAATTCGTATCATAGTCAGGATCTGAGATTTGTCTCTCACCTCACTCCCTCTCCTACGGATTTAGTTATGCTCATCTGAAGTAAAGGCTGCCTGACTGGGTGCAGTAGCTCATGCCTATAATCCCAGCACTTTGGGAGGCTGAGGCAAGAGGATAGCTTGAGCCCAGGAGTTCAAGACCAGCCCGGGCAACAAGGTGAGATCCCCTCTCTACAGGAAATTTAAAAATTAGCTGGGTCTGGAGGCACACACCTATGGTCCCAGCTACTTGGGAGGCTGAGGTGGGAGGATCTCTTGGGCTGAATGGTCAAGGCTACAGTGAGCTGTGATCACACCACTACACTGCAGCCTGGGTGACAGAGTGAGGCAAGACCCTGTCTCAAAAAAAATTAAAAAAAAAAAAAAAGGAAGAAGAAAGAAAAAGAAAGGAAAGAAAGAGAGAAAGAGATAAAGAAAAGAGAAGAAAAGAAAAAAGAGCTGCCTGCTGTAGCTGAAAGATAGCACTTAGATGCTAATGTGGGATTTTGAAAGCGGGAGACCTTTCTTCAGAAATCTCAGGTAAGGCAGTTGCGAGGGCACAACTCAATGCCCTCGTGAGGCCTCAACTCTCTGGGGCCTCACACAAAGATGAGCTTTATGTGGACTTTACCAGAAGTTCCAGGGATGCGGCCAGCCAGGAGCTGTGGCTGTCACCAGTTTGTCATTGGTGTGACACTAACAGAGAGAAGGTACATCTTACCAAGACAAGGTAGTTCAAGTTCAGGTTCTGTAGCATCATTCAGCTCATCTGAAAGCTTGTAGTTGATTTTATGTATTGCAGCCCATTCAAAAATAATCTTGTAAAGCATAGTGTTTGCTTAAACTTGAGACAGCTTGCAATGTGGCTTCCGTTTAGTGTGACACAAACCTGTTGTGGACTCTCTATTATACCACAGAAATTGTTATAACCACCACGTCTATTGTCTTCCAGAAGGACACTTGAGAGTCACTTGTAAAAGTTGGCCTGTGCTTTCCTATTAAAAACTGCTGTTTAAATGGTAGTTAGTCTCCTGTTTAGTATGCGGTGTAGCTAGATCACCCTGCATTCACAATGCTCTACATAAAAAAAAAAACAACACTGCTGCAATACCAATAGTTAAAAGCAATTCCATTAAATACATTGCGAACTAGTTTTAAATTTTTATCTTGATGTAGGCACTTAAGAAAAAGGAAGGGATAAAAAATAGTTGGAGACATTTATAGTGATTCTGAGGGTAACTTCTGAGTTCTGGGGCTTACAGACTCTTGCCATTGGGTCTTCATCTAAGTAGCGCTACTCAAACGTGTATGAGCCCTAGTTAAAGCATTATGGCTCACAAGAAAATAAAACAAACACATCAGTTTTCCAGATGTTAATTGATCAGTTTTCCAGATGTTAATTGATCAGTTTTCCAGATGTTAATTGGAGATGTTTTGAAAGAGAGAAGCTTCAGAAGGCAGACAAATACTAAAGAGAATGTGTCTTTACAATATTCATTCAGCATTTATTGTGTACCTAGCATGCCCTAGGCTCTAGAGCAGCATTCTCAGACCACTAGTTTTCTAGATTGCCTTTACATTCATAAGTCTCAAGATTATTAAATTTAAATAGCCTCAAGATCCCCTTTACATTCTTAAAAATTATTGAGGACCCCAGAGAGTTTTTGTTTATTTGGGGTTATATCTACTGATATTGATCATATTAAAAATTAAAACTGTATATAAATGTTTAAATGCTTTGCCTGGGCATAGTGGCTCATGCTCTATAGTCCCAGCACTTTGGGAGGTGGAGGCAGAAGGATTGCTTGAGGATAGGAGTTCAAGACCAGCCTGGGTAACATAGCAAGACCCCCATCACTACAAAAAAAAATTTTTTTTAATTAGCTGTGCTAGGTAGCACATGCCTGTAGTCCCAGCCACTTAGGAGGCTGAGGTGAAAAAATTGTTTGAGGCCAGGAGGTCGAGGCTGCAGTGAGCTGTGATCATACCACTATACTCTAGCCTGGGTGACATAGTGAAACCTGTCTCTTTAAAAAGAAATAAAGTTTAAATGTTTTAAGTAAAACATTTTAAAAGATTTTATTATTTAAACATATCAATAATAAAACCATTGCATATTAACCTAATATAATTCTATGAAAAATAACTATAAAAATTTTTGTGAAAAGAATGACATTGATTTATATTTTTGCAAATCTTTTTCGGGTCTGGTCTAAGAAGACAACTAGCTTCTTATACCAGCTTCTGTATTCAGTCTGATGCTCTTAAGTTGTTTTGGTTACCCCAGATATTTTGTTAGAAAAGGGAAAAGTGTGTTAATAGACTTTTGAGAAAATTGTGGCTATTCATTCTTTGACACTCTACCAAAACCGGAAAAGTAGTAGTTTTTTAAAAGTTAGTTGCATTGTGAAATCTGAAATTATATCAATGACTGATATAATTTTTCACTTGTTACATTGAAATCGATTAGTCTATCTTGCAATTTTGAATGGATCATTCACTCTTTCATGATTGTGTGAAATCGTGCATCATTCAATTAGAAATATTGGTTCAGTGAGTTATGTAACTCTTTTAAGCGTCGACACATTTCATTATCTAAGATCAAAAAATCACATTCATTAGTATCATCACCAATCCTATCAGGAATGCCTTAAGTATTGGGAAATATGGAGACACATTTTCCAACGTTGACAATTTTCCAAATTTGCTTGAATTTTATCATTGGCCAAAAACACTGTCAGTTCTTGAAGTGGCAGGCTCATTGCATTTATTATCTCTGCCATCATTGGTCTGTCAGTACTTCTTCCATGTAAAAATAATGTTCCATGAAAAAGAGTTGCTGGTTCAGCTCACAGTTGAATCTCAGATGCACATTTCCTTGAGACAACCTTGTGCTTCAGCGTGTACCACGGGTTCTCTGTGTGTGTTTCCCACTGAGTCACACAGAATATAAAAAAGGCATATCAAGGGTTGAAACTTAATAAAGGTAATAATTTGTAGTGCTTTTTAAGGACGTTTTAAATATTCTCTTTTTTTCCAGCTTTAATGGATGAAACAAATTGTTGTTTTTTTCCTTGTAAGTGTGAGATGGTAAAAAATGCAGTGACTGCCAGTATAAGCTGGTGCCACTACCTTGATCCCAGCTAAGGCACCCACAGTTTTATCTACTGTTGCTTTTGCACCAAAGATGTAAGTGGCAATACAGCGAAAAGGGCAAATAAAGTCTTAATAGTATGAAAATGCTTTGACCTTACAAATCCCTGAAAGGGTTTTGGAGACCCCCACAGGTCTGCAGAACAGTCTTTTAAAACTCCTCACTAGATATACAGTTTGACATAGACAAGACGTTTTTCTTGTAAAGGGGGAAGATAGATAATAAACAAAATACATCAGGGGTGCTGTAACCAAAACAAAGCAGTGCGCTGTGACAGAGGGGTTATCTCAGGTGGGATGGCCCTGAAAGGCTGCGGAGGCAGTGACGTTTAAGATGAAACTTAAGAGCAGGTCGACTGGGATAGCCAGCCCAGGCTTGATGGCAAGAGCTCACAGGGAATGTTCCAGGGGCAGCAGAAGAACCCCTGTGCTGAGCATGGTGAGGAGGGGGAAGCGCAGGGAGAGAAAAGGTCAGTGAGGCTGTCAAGGGCTACACTGATCGGGCCTGAGGAACCAAGGTGAGAGCTGGATTTTATTCTGAGTGCAACGAGGATGTCCTTGGAGGGGTGTGAAGCAAGGTGAAAGGTCATGTCCACCTTGTAGCCTCAGGAAGTCTCCCCTCACCCCACTTCCACCTCCATTCTTCTCTAGGGGGCCACGACTGGGTTTGAAACTCTAAACCCTAGTTATGAAGTTGTAAATATAAGTAAAAAAGAAAATCCCAAAAGATTACATACAGCATGGTATTCATTTTATAAAATAAACAACTTACTAAAACCTCAGAGCTATCTACAAAGGAAGTCAAGGGAGCAATAAACAAGGATTCAGAACAGTGATTCCCTGAGAGAGGGCAGGCAGGAGGATGAGTTGGGGAAGACTCCACAGATGGACAAAAGTCCTCATCCGAGTTCCGGTTCTGGGGGTGAGTGGGGTTTTGTGGGTGTTTGTGATCTTATTAAGTAAGGGTGAGTGAGTGAAGGTGACAGGCCACGAATGGGCCACTCGCGAGTGTGTCGGGAGCCGTGGGTCATGACAGACCCAAGTACGTGCCCCTGGGTTTGATATAAAAAGAGAATAAGGGTAGAAAAGAAACAAAGCTCATATCTATATATTTCATTTATTTACATGCCGTTTGATTTCTAGCTTGTTCAACCCTAGTTATTGCAAATATCAAGTGTAGTATCATGGGTCATGGGAAAAGGCTGCTGGATTCAAAACTCGGCTTTGTGTGCACCCTTGGACACGCTGCAGACCCTTCCAGGCCTCAGTGTCTTCATCTTCTTCATCTATGATGTGGAATAATTGCAGGATCCGCTCATAGGCTTGTTGAGAACATCGAACAGGACAATGCCTGTGAACCGCTGTCACAAGCCTCTCAGTCACGTTTACTGCACAGGTGGAGATTCTCTCTCCTGTATACACTGCCTCTCTCGATCCATTTTTCCTTTCTTTATGTAACTGGGAAAAACCAAGAATGAAGCAGGTTTGTTTTTGTTTTGCGTGTGAGGAAAAGGTTGTTGAATCTGTTCTCAAGAATGTTTGAATTAAATTCTCTTTGCCTGGGGATGGTATTTTTATCTTATATGATTGTTCTTTGAACAAGCAGTAAGAAAACAAAATGAAATTGGGAGGCTCCTTGCTTTCTTCCTGAAAAGAGGCTTCAGGGCTTTGGGCCAAACTGTGCCTTGAAATGAATTTTAGAAGCGGCCACAGCAGGCGGTCTCTGTTGTGAGGGGCCCAGCTAGTAACAGGCACACTCCCCCAAGACAGAGGAAACACCCTGCAGAGCGGTGGCCACGCTGGGCTGTCCACCGCACAGGGGCTGTCAGAGAAAGAGTGGGCTCGGCGGGAAAGGAAGGGCCGCCCCAGTGGGTTACACGGGAGGCCGCTCCAGGCAAGGGTTTTCAATTTCAGTTCCCTTTTCCCCACACTGCATGGTTTCACTTCTCTGATGGGGCTTAGAATCTGCGCCATTAGGCAGCTTCCACAGCTTAGACGCCTTTCCTAAGGAAGGGTTGGCACAGGGCTGTCAGCCATCAGAGACCTGAGAGGGCAACCACCGGTGCCCTCCCTGCTGGATTCAAGAGGAGCTGGGTGATTCTGGGTTCCAGGATGAAGAGGAGCTAGCAGGGACAAGGAGTAAGCAGAATGTTTGCACACAGGAAATGACAGGGGACTCCGTTGCTGGAGCCATCCCTTCCCTTTGTGGTCATCACGAAATATCCATGACCATAGTAGTGCCACTGTGGCCTGAGTCTCAGGATTGCCTGTGCCCATGAGGTGGCCAGAGCCAGCTCTGAGTCCCCAGGGTGGCCCACAGCCAAGGAACAGAGCCCCCAGGACGCAAAAAGAAACCACCACTAGTTGAGAAGGGAGGAGGAGAACTCCTCTCATGACTGTGCCTGGCAGGAGACAGCGCATCCTGCAGCCTGAGCCTGGTGCTCTACGGGGGCCAGCCGAGGCTAAGACTGTCCCTCACGGAAGGATCTTGAGGCTTCTGTGTCCTCCCCGACACTGGCTGCACTCACCTCCCCTCAGCCTCTGTGCATAGCAGCCCACCGTACTTCAGGACCACTCTTTGTAATCAGGGAATTCTTCTTTACATTGAGCCATAATCTGCCCCATAATTTCCACAGATGAATCCTAATTCAGGTCTCCACAGTAACATGAAATACATCTGCCCCTTTTTGGAATATATGTTAGGTCTACTCTGTGTCCTGCACCATGCCAGGCAGCAGACAAGACACAGACATAGACCTTTCCTTCCAGGAGACTAAAACGTAGTGGGGCAGATGCCATTAAACAAATAATCACACAAAATTCTAAAGATGAAATGAAGTTTCTCGCTATTACCGTGTTACCACACGTGGAAAACAGTCAGCTATGTCTTCTGTCTAAGGGAAGGTATTTTGCAATGGCCTGACTTAAAAGCCGTGGGATTTCCATGAAATCTCTGGATGATGCGGAGCAGACACCCCAGTGCTGAGCAGCTTTCTTTAGTTGAAAGAGAGGGTTAGTGATGGCCAAATTCGTAGCCTGTTTTGGGGATGGCGTGATGACTTTGAACATGGGCGCTGGGGTGTATGGAGGAAGGTGAAAGGTGTCCGTGGGGAGAAAATTGGAAAGGAGCTTTGGAGGCAGGTTGGGCAAGGCATTAAGTGCCAGAGTAAGAAGTTGGAACTGCGTTTGATGATCATCAGGTGAGAAGACCTTTGAGCAGGGAGGGAAGTTAGGTCTGAGTTTTGAGGCAGTTATTTTAAAATGGTTCCAAGCATGGCCTCTGCAGCCTGGCTGCCCGGGCTCCAGTCCTGGCCACTGGCAGTGGGAAGAGTTACCTGGCCTCCCTGTGCCTCAGTTTCTACATCTGTAAAACAGAAATAATAGTGGTATGTACTTAAAAGAGCAAATGAGTTGATGCATGTGACATTTTTGGAGCTTTGCCTAGCTGTGGAAAAGTGCTTTAAAAAGGTTAGCTGGGGCCAGGCATGGTGGCTCACACCTGTAATCCCAGCACTTTGAGAGGCCAAAGCTGGTGGATCAGTTGAGCTCAGGAGTTCGAGACCAGCCTGGCCAACATGGCGAAACCCCGTGTCTACTAAAAATACAAAAATTAGCTGGGCGTGGCGCGCACACCTGTAATCCCAGCTACTCGGGAGGCTGAGGCAGGAGAATCGCTTGAACCAGAGAGGCAGAGGTTGCAGTGAGTCGAGATGGGGCCACTGCACTCCAGCCTGGGCAACAGAGCAAGACTCTGCCTCTAAATAAATAAATAAGGGTAAGCTGGTATTATAATCACCACCATTGTCATCATCATTGTTGGAATAGGCATTGGAAGGAGGTGGATGAATTTGGGTCAGTGGGTGTCATTCACAGTAGGGCACAGTAGAGGCCTGACTTTAAAAGACTAGGTATGCTGCCACCTTCCTCAAAACGGCACCTGCACTGTGTTCACTCACATAAGTAGAAACCTGGCTCTTTTTTTCTTTTTAGAATCTTTTTTTTTTTAATCCTCACTTGGGATTAATCACCTCCAGAAGGCCCTCATCAGGGGTTACAATACACGTGTGCATGTTTGAGGCCATGCTGCCCACGCGTAGACTTGGGGAAGGAATTTGCAGCGCCTCACTCCCTCACCAGCAGGCCCAGTGCCAGGGGGCTCCTAGATGATGGCTGGAGCCCGCCAGTATGATGCTAAGAATGAAGACTCTGCTGCAGCATGGGCAAATATTTAGGCAATGATGATAAATGAAATAAAGCCTGAAACCACACATGCATGATGGTCCTCACGATGTAAAAACATGGTTGCACATGAGCCAGGGCCGTAAAGAAACACAGATAAACAGTGGCACTCGTGTTAAGATGGGCAGCGCAGGAGCACATGAATTGTTTTCCTTTAATATTTCTGCAATTGTCTTAACGATATTTTTAAAGTAGAAAAAGTAAAGGAGGGAGCATGTGCCCAGGATCCCTCTATGCCTCGGAGACCACAACTGCAGAGCAGCCATTGTTTTAGCAGAGATGGAGGGCTCCAGAGGGTGGGGCATGTCAGTTCTTAAAGAACTGCTCTTGATCTGCGAACCCCTCTGCCCTCTTTAAGCCCCAGGGGCACCGCCATCTCTAGGAATGGAAATTCCCAGCCAATGGCTCCTGCACCAGAGACAGTGGGCCCTTCCCTTCCTCACAGACAGTGCTTCCTCAGGATCATGGCCCTTCCAGGGTGAGCTTCCCGGGTAACTGGACAGGGGCTGAAAGTAGCATCCTTAGGCTATCCCATTGATGGTCTTGGTTAAAACAAGCACAGTTCAAATACCTTCGTGACCGCTGTCAACTGCAAATGGTATGGCCTTGGGTCAGATACTTGGCCTCATTGAGCTTCACTTCCACCGTCTGTAAAGGAGCAATGCCTCTGCAGTACCTACCTTCCTCACCGGGCTGTTACTGGTAGGAAAAGCGTGACTGCAGTGCATGGCACCCAGGAAGCTGCTCAGTCAACAGTAACGGCGGCTGCTGCTGTAGGGGTGGGCATGGGAGGGGCTGTTCCTCTCATCACTAGTTTTATTCAGTGGTTCAGATGGTTCAAATGCAGCCTCCTCTATGAGGTTGGACCCCGTTCCTCTGCACAGAACTTTCCCTCCTCCCTTGGTCTCCTGGAACACTGCGTTTGTGCCTGTCTCACAGCGCCTGCTACTTTCTCTGAGGCAGTGGTGTCACTTATACTTGTTACACTTTTCAGAGGCAGGGTGCTGACTGGCCAGAACGTAGGAAAGGCCAGGTCAGAGACTTTCTGTTTAAATAAAATGCCACGCTAGCGGGTTTCGGGTAACTGAAGAAAGTGCATTCCGCGGTCTCCATGTGGTCAGGACTTGGCTCTGTGAGTCTGCAGCCTTGTTCAGCCCTCCCTGCAGCTGTTACTGTATCCCTGTCTTCCTACTGAGGCCATGCTTGGGCCATTGTGGCACCTATACATCTTTAATACACGCCCCAATTAATGAGTTAAGTCCAGATAAAGTGGGTCTGAGGAGTTCACAGATTGGAGTGCCACAGGGATCATATTTTCAGGTGCATTTTCTTCCAATGCACTCTGACAGCTCAAAACACTTCCTCGAGCTTCTATACATTCTGCTCGTTGCCATGTGTCCCCAGCACTTGGATATGTAATGCGAGGGATACCAACAGACTGATTTCTAAATGAGCTTCCTGCCTCAAGGCAAAGGTTGAGTTGCCCGTGCAGCTGGGAGGGCCACCAGGTGAATGACGCTGTTAGAGGGGAAGTGTTGGGGTGAAAGGTCCCTGGGAGCTTCGCTTACCACCGTGGGCACTTAATGGATGCTAAATAATTGAAAGAATAAAGTGAGAGATGAGTGGATGCCGCCTTGATGGCCCCTCGATGAACTAACAGGGTCCGAGAACATTTGCAAATTGGTCATTAATGTTTCATCAACAGTGTCTGCCTCCTTTGTTCATCTCAAAGGGTAGCCAGGGTTTCCGATCACAGGGATAGTTTCCTGAGAAACTTAAATGGAGGAATTAGGCCGGGCCTGCAATTCCACCCAATAATTTGGGTTTGTTTCAAAATAGCCTAATAGCTGGGAATGGGCTGGTTTGGCTTGCTAATGTGCTTAGAAGGGTCTTGAGTGCTTTCACTCAGTGACATTTGGAGGGGGATTATGGATTTTGGAGCATTAAAGCTTTATTGTTTTTGTTTTTTGTTTTGCTTTGCCTGTTTTTGGAGTGAGGTTTGCTGACGCTAAAATGACTGTTTATTCATGACAGGGAGGGGGTGAGGAGGTATAGGGAATAATTCTACTCATGGAAAAAGGATGCCTTCTTCAAAATGATTTTTGCTGTTGGCAAAGCTGAGAACACACTCACATGATTCTCTGCCTGCAGTAAGTGACAGGAAAAACACATTGTGCGCCGTGGATAGCTATAACTAGCAGCAAATTGGTTTAAATCATAAAGAAAGGCTCAGTATACACAGCTCCCTCTTCTTCAGGGAAGTCTAGCTGGAGGAAAGAAATGGAGGCTGGGTTTAGAGTACTAGAAGTGGCAAGTCCAGCCTTGAGCCTCCCGCGGTCGGGTTTCTTCAGAAAATAACCAGGTACTCTCCCGATGTGAGCTGTGGATTTGGGTGAAACTTTCCTCTCTCAGCCACTGCGCTGGCCTCCCTCGGCAACCCTACGTTGCAGGGACTGCCTGCCCCGAAACCCTGCCTGAGCTCACCACTGTCCCTTCACTGACTTTTGAAGGTGGTAGACGGGGAGAGATATTCCTTGTCCCCAGCACTGGCTGGTGTGCTCTTGACAGTGGCCTGTTCTGAAGCCTGCTAGGACGCCCGCTACCTGGGAAGCTGGCAGGAGATTCCGATGGCTTTCGGCATCTGCAGTGCTCACTCATACTGCAGATGACTCTTATTTCCGTTTTTCACAACTTAACTGAAAAGGGCACTTAAGCAAAGCAGGCATTTAGTCCCAGGTGGAATCAATCTTCCTGCTGCAGGAAAGAGCCAGGCCCTGGGCAGCTGGTGTTTGGAGTTGGTCTTGAGTGTGTGTTGACTCACCTTCCTCTCGAGGTAAAGGAAATGAATAGCTCGTGCTAATGAATGAGGTGTCCCCAGAGCATCGTCAGTCTCTGGAGGTGTCCAGTTAGGCCCTGTGACTGTCCCAGCCCTCCCACGGGCACAGCAGAGGCGAGGCTCAGAGCCTGCCCCTGGAATGGGGGCGTGGACGTCCCAGAGAGCAGGGGCTGAGGACACTGGAGTGGGGTCACTGGAGGAAATGGGCAAAGGCAGCTGAGTAGACACATACCTTAGAGGCTAGGGAGCTTGTCCAGAAAAAGCAGCCTGCACCTGGCCGTAAGATTTTCCAAAGATGAGGTTTATGCTCATTGTATTTTTCTCTTGGAAAATGTTTAGGGTCTTTTGCAATGCTTTGTCCTCCTCGGTACTCAGAGGACTGCATCTGCCTTTCCCTCTTCTTTCCCCTTCAAGGATGGACGTGTAGGTTACCCACAAGTACCTGTGCCCTCATTTTTTTAGGCACAGGCTTCTTTCTCTGCTTTGTTTTTGTTTTTTGTATGTTTGCTTTCAAGGCACATATTTTCAAGTATAAAATGACTCCTATGCTCCTTCACTTACCCTGAAAACACCTACCTGTTTCCTAAGAGCCACCTTTGAAAACTCTATGGACATTTTGAACCAGATTATTCTTTATCATGGGGGCTGACCTGGGCACTGTAGGCTGTTTACCAGCATCCCTGGCTTCTGCTGACTGGATGCCAGGAGCAGCCCCCTGACCCCAGTTGTGACAACCACAAATATCTTCAGCCGTTGTGCAGTGCCCTCTAGGGAGCAAAATTCCCTTCAGATAAGAACCACTGGTCTACAGGAATCACACCAAGGCAGCCCACCCATTTTAAAGATATGCCAGTCTGTTTGTTTACTGAATGTTTAATAATTGTTCATTTATTCACCTATCTGCTTACCCATTGATCTGTCCATCTGTCCATGTAGCTGAGCTGCCCAATATCCATCCTGGGACAGCAGTGCCTTGGGAGCTAAACATACTCAAACTGTGAGCCTTTCTAGAAAGAGAGAGAGACAGCGAGAGAGCGCAATTGATTGATTGAGGATAGAGGAGATAATTACTGAGCAAGCTGGATAAGATCCAAGGTACTAAATAGTTGGGGGAAGGTACTTGGGAGGAAGAGAGATGCTGCTTTTTTGAGACCAGAGGGAAGGAAGAATGGTAAAGACAGAGGAAAATGTTTTGGTCACAGGGAAGATCACTTACCGAGTCCTAGATCTATTTATGTAGAAAAAGGATTTTCTAGATTACAAAGAGGTTTTTTTTTTTACAACTAGAACTGTTTTTCTTAGATTTATTTTCCAAAGATGTGTCACAAGGCAGTAATTCACCATCATCAGTTAATATGTCCGAGCCCAGGGCCAGTAGAGAGGAATTAAACCTCCTCCTAAGAGGAGCAAAATATTCATCACAAAGGACAGATTTTGCAAGAGTTGGCAATCTTCTAGAGGTCATGAGCAAAGTCTTCACTTACTCTTATTAAATGGTTCTTTTGGTAGTAGTAATCTTACCTCCCCTAACCACTGCAATGATGATTGCCAGTTCTACTGTGTGCTTATGTTTCAAGCACTGTTCTGAGAGCTTTATACGGATTAACTCCGTTAATCCTTTCAGCCCTAGATGGTCTTTTAGAGATGAGGCAACTGGAACACAGCAAGGTTGAGTAACTTGCCCAATGTCACACAGCTACTAAGTGGTAGAGCTGGGACACAGACCCACACTGCTGGCTCTGAAAGCATCAACCCTAATGACTACACGCTCATTTGTCTGGAGAAAACACTGAGACCTGGAGCATGTGTGTACATGCTCACCATACAGCCCGCCCCCGATGATTGTCAGGAGAGTCAGCTGATCTGAGAAAGTGACAAGCATTGGTCATTTCAGAGAAACCGGGAGTTGGGCTTTTTAAAAGAGGCATAAAGAAACTGGGAAAATGAGACTGAGTATATTGGACAGATCCCAGGAACTACCACTCAGAGGAAGACAAGCCCCGCTCCTGTTTTTCCTTCCTTCCTCTTCCTCCTTCTCTTCCATGTGCCTTCTTCTTTCCCTTCTTCCTCCTCTTTGTTTTCAGCTCTCCTCTCTCTCCATATAGCCCTCCAGACTCTCCTCCTCTGTGAGGCTGTCTCCTTGGTCCCCTCAGAGACCGTGGCCCCAGATCCTCAATCCTCTTGCTCCCCAGATTCGTTCCATGTCTCCTGCTTCTGCACTCACGCCCTGGGCTCCTGCCCCTTGGATTAGAAGCCATGGGCGCCATTCTTTGAGCACTTTTCACACACCGGAGTATGGTTTTTAATGAACAGTTTTATTCTGTTGTACCCTTTGATCTCCTGTGTACTCCTCTATGAGTAGCACCATGTCATAGCAGGGCAGAAGCCAGGGCGTATCGTGTACTTGGAGCTCAAAGTCCCTTTGCAGTGAAATTCCACCAAAACCTATGGATCTTTCACTTTGGGACACGCTGTTTGATCTCTGTCTGTCTTCTCCAACATCCTTTCTCATTAAACTGAAGATCAGAAAAAATCAGAAAAATAGGGCCCCTTGGTCCCTCTGAGGTCCTCAACATTTGCTAGATGGCTGGGACCCTTCCCCCTCTCAGTGTCCTGATGTGGTTTATTCTTTCATGTTTCATCTGGGCTGTATGGGCCTGGCTGTATGAGACTCTCACGCAGCCCGAGCTAGGAGAGCCTCCCTGTAGAGCCGCACCTGGCCCCCACACTCTCTGCCTCCCTATCTCCTGTGCTCCTCCTCAGGGTCCTGCTGACCCCGTCACTGAGACAGCTGTCCCCGATGATCCTCATGCAGGGTTTTGTGTTCTTCTTATGTGAGTGTCCTTTCTTGTTGGATTGAAAGTCGCTTAAATAACACAGCAAACATTGCTCAGCACCTGCTATGTACCAGCCACTATGCTAGATGCTGGGGACACAAAAGTGAATGAACAGTCGTTGAAAGTGACAGTGTCAACAAATGGCTCTAGTAGCAGGAAACAGGAGTATCATGATTGAGAGAGGTACGTGTCGGTGATATGGCGGTGCACACTCTAGCCCTCCATGGAGGGCAGTGACCCAGGTGTGTTCAGCCTCCTAGGGAGGCAGTAAGGATTAGACAGGTTAAGGCTTGGGAAAGCCTCACAGTCGGGCCTGGCACGTAGCAAGCATGCAACACCTGTTAGATCTCGTTGTTCTCATCTCTGTAGCTCCTCTCCCTTCTGACCCGTTCCCCCAGCTTTCAATGTCAGACCACACAGATTGTGTTCAGCAAATGAATAAATGACCATGAATGAAATGAATGTTGGGCCCATCAAGAGAGAATTAGAGAACTTGGAAAGAAGAGTGGACATTCTCAATGAGGAGGGAGAAAAACAGCACAGTGCCAAGGGGCGGAGCCCGGGAGCAAGAGCCCTGATCCCCGGACACATCAAGCTTTCCTGCCATGGGTCAGCCGGACTCCAGCCCCAGTCACGAGCTCCTGGACAGCTCCTAGTGAGTCTCCTCTTCGCTTCCCTCTTTCTTTTTTCCACCAGAGATAGGTAGGACCTTTTCATATCCTTCAAAAAAAAAAAAATCAGGCATGATTCAAATCCTGTTCTTCTATTCACTCTGCCTTCACTTCACATCACTTCCACAGTTGCTGAATTCTTCCTTCATGCCACATACTGTGCAAGGCTCTGAAAATGCAACCACCAGGAGACAGTCCTGGCCCCAAGCCCCCGGCTAGGTGGTGCCCAACCCAACCTCACCTTCCACACCACCACCAATGGCCAGACAGGTGAAGTGAGGGGTTGAGCTTGGATTCCCTTTTCCCAGAAAGAGGTTTTGTGTGATTTTAACTTATTTGCAGATAATTAACCTCAGGGTCAAAAAATCCTACCCTTCTGCCTCTGCGGAGATTGAAATTAGATTTTTGAAGAGAAGCAATTGCTGTATAGAATTAAAAACTTCTTGATGAATACTGCCATCATGACATGGGGAGGAAATCACAGTAGCACTTTCTACTGTGTAATTAAAAAACCAAAAAAGCAAAGATGAATGGAATACCCACAAGTGAAAATGGGATTTCGTTTTCAACAGAGGAAATTGGAGTTCTGTCAGTTACACATGGAGTGTGTCCTGAATCATTTCAAATTACAGCAGGAGGTCACGTGGGCCATTTTCTTTAATCTATGCAATACCACGGACCAGGAAAGGGAATTTTTGCTCTAAAAAGATGTGATTTTTTTCCATCCTAACCATTGACTCTCTTTCCAAAATACCAAAAACATTTCATAGCCCCAGGTGGGTTTATATTTTGTTTTTGTTCTCCCTCCTCTCCACTGCCTTGCCCTAATTTTAATCATGCTGACTCTCCAGTCTTTAACTGCCTTTGCTCAAGAACATGTAAGGATTAGTAGCCCAGAGTTGAGTCTTGGCAACACTGTGGAGTCCATGCTGTACCCACCTATCTGGGTTTTCCTCAGTGTCATGAAATCAGATCAGAGATCTCATAGCTGCCACACACTGATAGGTCCCACTGACCATGGAGGACACCGGCTCCTAAGTGAGGGAGAACTGAGTTTTGGTCCCAGCCTAGTTCTTTGCTGTGTAACCCTGTGAAATCACTAGCCTCTCTGGACTTCGTTTTCTTACATGTATGGAGTAGGGATTGGAATAGCCTTGCTATTGCAGTTGTTGTAAGAATTAAATGAATGGATATATGAATGTCTAGTGCATGGTAAGTCCACAAGAAATACCTGCTATTATAATCACCATTGCTGTTGTAAAAAGTAATCAAGGGATCCAAGAGTGCTAAACTGGTGTAATAGCTAAGGGGTTTGGGATTGCCGAAACCTGCTGTGGACAATGCCGTCCCTTCTTGGCAAGTTCCAGTGGTAGATGGAAATAGAGCCCTGTATAATTCTTGTGAGAATTCTAGAAAGCTAGGCTGGAGCAGGACCCCTGTCCTAAAGGCCAAAGAGACCTCTTCCTGCCCCCCGCAGACCAGCACTGGGGGTCTGACCAGAGGAGCACAAGAGCCTGCAATCCTGAATCCCCATTATCCTGAGAAAGAAAGCCACAGCCAGCTCTTGTCCCATAGGAAAGAGCTGGTCTTCTTTAGGACTTCAAGCACATGGGAGAAGGAAGCAGGGCTTGTGCTTTCAGTCTTGTTTCCACTGTGACATAAAGCAAGGAGAGGGTGTCAGGAGGGGCCATGCATCTGTGGGCACCGTTTCAACACATGGCCAGCTTGTGCTCTCTATTTGAGAGCCAGCTGGACCCAGAATCTGACCCATCAGATCAGAATCCCTCTCTGTAGAGAGGGAGCAAGGAGATGATGGTGATGATGACAGGGAACACGTACATAGCACTTAACATAGCCAGATAGTAGTTTAAATGCCTTGTATAAAGTATCTTACTGAATCTTCTTAATAACCCTTTGATATAGGCATTATATTATATTCATCTTATACCTAGGGAAATTGACACAAAATGAGGACAGTTCATTAGAGCCTGGAGAGTTCTTCTGTAAATAAGACGGAAAGATAGATGGTTGTTTGATTTGTAGATAGATAGATACATACATACATACATACATACATGCATACATACAATCTGAATCTATAGTGTAGATAGAAACTGTGTCTGTCACACAGATAGAAACCGTTAGTGTAGTACACTGTATCTAGCTGTAGGTAGTTAATTCTTCTTCTCACAACTGCTGCATCCAGAAAGACCACCCCAATAAACTAAGCAGCTTTCTAGAAGATTCACTCCGCGTTTATTGCCAGATGTGTCACCTGGTCATTTTGTGGATTATATTAAAATGCAAAACAGTATTATTAGTTATTAATTTTAAAACAAAGTCTAGAAACTTTAATTTTCAATTTAGCCAACAAGGGCTTTTTTACTCTACGTACCCCTGGCTACATTTATTATACATTTATTATAGAATTACATCTATGCAATATGTCTATGTATGAATGACTCAGAAAGGTTAAGTAACTTACTCAAGGCCACAGAGCTAATAAGTAGCAGAACTGTAGTTTGATTCCAGATTCTCTGATTCTATCCACTGCTATTTCCACGTCATTTTCCTGTGATCCTTCCTTTGGTGTGTGTAGCTCACCAGGTCACACTAGTGGACTGGACCAAGGAAAATGCTGGACACTTTGGTGACTAAGGGCTTGGAGCTTTGGAGGAAGACAGCTCCAGGCCCACTCCTGACTCCATCCGCTCCATCGCTCCTTGCTGCCTGGGTCCTTGACCTCTCGGGGCCTCCGTTTCTCTCGAGGCTGTTGTGAGGATCAGATGAAAGAAAGATGTGAAGTGTCAGCACATAAGTGGTCACTGTGATTATAATTAATAGTACACCATACAGTCCTGGCTGTTTTCTCCCAAGAATTCTTTATCTTTCGCCTGCTAATAAAACAGTATGAAGTCTGAAAGGCCTTTGTGAAGCTCCGCGTATTTGCTATTAATAACCGTGGTCAATAGCGGTAATGTTCTAACCCTTCAAATTCACTGTTTGGGAGCTGCCTTCATCCCCAGCCTATCGAACACATGCTGTGGGGCTGGACCTGTCTGTGGCACCGTGCTTTGTGACTTGCCAAAACTCATAAGGAAGTTAAGAGTGTCCTGACAGCCACTGATGCTCTTCTTTTAGGAAACTGTTCTCAAGAAGATTAGAGAGCTGGCTTGAACCATTTAGGAAGTGGGAAGGATATTAGATGAGTTATTTGTTGCTGCAGAATGAATTACCCCCCAAAACAGAGGGGCTTGGCAGGTTGATTCTGGCTGTCGATTTCTCACGGGGTTGCAGCCAAGATGTCAGCTGATGCTGCAGGGATCTGAAGGCTCAACTGGGGCTGGAGGACCCCCTTCCAAGCTCAGTCAGTCGGCTGTGCCAGGAAAGGCTCGGTTCCTCCCTGGCTGTAGGTCAGAGACCTCAGCTCCTCACCACCTGGGCTCCTCCACAGGGCAAGCATTGCAGCTGGATTCCCCAGGGAGTGACCCAAGAGCAGGGAGAGGCCACATGTCTTGAGTAGCCTGGCTTTGGAAGTGACACACCATCACTTCTGCCATATTCTCTTGAACACACAGACTGACCCTGGTCCATTGTGGGAGGGGCCACACAAGACAGGAACACCAGGAGGTGGGGATCTCTAGGGGGCATCTCTGGAGATTGCCACCACAGGTGGCACATTCTTGTCTCTGGAGAGCTGAGAGAATTCTCCTCCTCCTCCTCACAACTGTTGCCTCTAAAAAGACCAGCGCAAATAGGGCAAGCAGCCCTTCAGAATAAGGTTATGTCCACATTGATTCTAAGACATGTCACCTGATTATTTTTTGGATTGTATTCAAGTGCAAAAGCTCAACTGATAGTAGTTTAAAAACAAGCTAGAAACTATTTTTCCAGCTTAACCTTAAGGGATTTTTTTTTTTAAAAAATTGCATGTACCCCTTGCTATTTATCCTAGAAATGGCTGCAGAGCTTTAAATATAGACCAGCATGAATTCAACTCTTGCATAAATTTAAACCACATAGGTGCTAGAATACCCCTTTTTTAATCCAGAAGGGAGAGTTATCTAAGAGTGATGGGTAAGTACATGGCAAACCAATTTACTGCCTCAGCTGCTGTAATGTGGAATAACTTGCATCCCATCTCACTCATCTCTCTTCTGTCTCCACCATGCCCATTAGCACGTGAGTTTGCTCCCTTCCTCTCGCCCTCCACACTAAGGCAGATTATTTTGGATGAAAACATTCATTTAAATTTACTCTACTTTCCCTTCACCCTATGAATTAATGTAAGGAAATGAAATCAGACTTCACAGGTACCATACATTAGCAACACAGATGACCCTGCGTGAAGGGAGATCACACAGTTACTTCCATCAGAAGTAAAACTGAGCCTCGAAAACTTCACAGAAATACACTCAGAGCCACTCAAAAGGGATCCTGAAAGGCAATGGGGGAAACAAGAAATAGAATAGGCTTCAGAAATAAGATCCTGGCCGGGCGCAATGGCTCACGCCTATAATCCCAGAGCTTCGGGAGGCCAAGGTGGGTGGATCACGAGGTCAGGAGTTTGAGACCAGCCTGGCCAACATAGTGAAACCCCGTCTCCACTAAAAATACAAAAATTAACTGTACGTGGTGGCATGTGCCTGTAGTCCCAGCTACTCAAGAGGCTAAGGCAGAAGAATTGCTTGAACCCAGGAGGCGGAAGTTGCAGTGAGCCAAGATTGTGCCACTGCAGTCCAGCCTGGGCGACAGAGCAAGACCCTGTCTGAAAAAGAAAGAAGATCCTATGGGAAGGGAAGTGAGCCCCCTCCCTGCTTTCTGGAATAGTGTGAGTGGCAGATGGCATTGGTCAGCTGACCTAGCCTGCATGCATAACTTCCCCATCCCAGCCTAGAGGTGGTCATGTGACCCAGTTTTGGCCAATGAGAATAAGCAGAAATTTCTGGATGAGGTTCCCTGAGGGCTTTTTGTCTGGCATGCCCCTTTGGCCTTTTACCATGTACCCTTCTTCCGTCTATCTGTGCATTGCTGATAGGAGGACTGGAGAGGGAGCAGCCATCTTGCAACCCATGAAGACCGTGGCTTGCTTCCTAAGGATGGTGGGACAGAAAGAAGAGCCCAGATTCCCCATGGCACTATTAGCAGTTGCTTTGTTCTGCATACCTTCAGAATTCGTTGTTATTATTCTTGTTGTTGTTGTTGTTTAGAGACCACATCTTGCTCTGTCACCCACGCTGGAGTGCAGTGGTGCAATCATGGCTCACTGTGATCTTGAATTCTTAGGCTCACGCAATCCTCCCACTTCAGCCTTCTGAGTACTTGGGACTACAGATGCACACCACCACGCCCAGCTAATTTTTTAATTTTTTTGTAGAGACAGGGTCTCACTATGTTGCCCAAGCTGGTCTCAAACTCCAGGCTCAAGCAATCCTCCTGCCTTGGCCTCCCAAAGTGTTGGGATTACAGGCATAAGCACCACACCCAGCTACTTCTAGAATTTTTTAAATGTGTCCTTTTTCTTTTGTTGAATGCAGCTGCCCTCATCAGAAGTGACACAGTATGCCAGAGCTCTGAAGAGATTGAATATGTTGCTGTACTGCAAACAGTCAGAGGAAACAGAACCCTAAAAGATGTATGAATAGAACAGGTTCTTTCAGTGTACATTACTACGATCCAAAGTGAGGTCAATGAGTAAGAGATTCAGAATATGTCCAAAGATGAATGACAGAGAGCATCATCATTTCTTAGAAGTAAAACAGCAAGAACAGAGTTTTTCCTGTTTACTGGGTACAAAGCTATCTACATAATTATAAGGGATGTTTTTATTGCCAGAAACATCTAACTTTTATAAAAGCTTAAAGTAGTTTTTTTAATCATTATTTCTGTAAAATGTTTTTATTAAAGGAAACACCATATGGTAACAGCAAGAAGAGTTGGTTACGAGTCACGAAGCTAGTCAGATTTCTTTCCAACAGTTAAAATAAAAAAACTTAACACAGACCATACATTTAGAAAAAAAAAATGCAGTTTCAAGACTCCTGAAAGCATAAAACTTTAACCAAAGAGTTGCGTGTGTATCGTTGTCGGTTTTTTTCATTTTCTAGAACGTAAGACAAAATCTTGGAACGCTTAGGGGTTATATTCATAATATTTAACAGCCAGCGCAGCCTGGACAATGACTCGTTAGAACAGGCATCAGTCATGCCACATTCTGTCACGAAAAGGATCTCCCTTGTGCTAGTCCTTATCACACCTGCTCTCCTTACCCCCACCATCACTACCCTCTGGCACCTACTAATCTGTTTTCCATCTCTATAATTTTGTCCCTTTAAGAATATTATGTACACGGAGTCACACTGAATGTGACCTTTTGAGATGGGCCTTTTGCACTCAACATAATGCCCTTGGGATTCATCCAAGTTGTTGCATGTATCAAAAAATGAAGAATCCTGGCCAGGTGCAGTGGCTCATGCCTGTAATCCCAGTGCTCTGGGAGGCCAAGGTAGGAGGATTGCTTGAGATCAGGAGTTCAAGACTAGCTTGGGCAACATAGTGAGACCCCCGTCTCTAAAAAAAAAAAAAATTGTAATTAAAAAAAGATCAAGAATCCTAACTTCTAGCATGGCCATTTCCAATTTTGGCAAAGTTGGAACACCTGCCTGTTGTTTGACCAGTTATTCCTGGGAAGCAATAATAAAAAACAAAATAAAGCAGTGGATTGTTTTTTATGTTTAAAATTAATTCAAAATGGCTTAGGAGAAGGAATTTGTGACCTGGGGCCCTCAGGTGCCCAGTGGCCTGTGTGTAGGAGGCAGGACCATCTTCACGGGAAATGTCTACAAGACAGATGTATGTTTCTCAGGCTAGCAGCGATCACTTTGCTTCTTACAGCAAAATTCTGGAGTGTTAGAAAATAATCTTCCTTCTAAACCTTCTTCTGTAGTCCTTGCTTTGAATCCAGGAGGACAGTGGGTGAGGGGTTCCCCTACCCAGAACGGTAGGTCAGGCAGGATGGTGCCTAGTGCCGCCACAAGGTCACACAGCCTTTGTGAGCAAAGGCAGGGGAGTTGACCTGGGTCTACATCCAGACCCTCTTCTTGGAGCCTGTCATGTTCCTGCCACCCCGCTAAACACACTGCTTGCATCATTTGATTTAATCCCATCAGCAACTCTACGAGGTAGATACTATTGCTGACCCAATTATACAGACAAAGCAATTATGGCTTAGAAAAATTAACACATCAAGGTCATACAGCAAAGCCAGGACTTAAACCGAGGTTTAAAGGCCCCCAGAGTCCATGCTTCCGACCACTGCATGGTTTTAGTCCAAAGTGAAGAGCAGGTCAAACCACTACATACAGTGGCATCTGTCTGCTGTGTGCTGGTAGGGAATGTGTCCTGGGGACACTGGAAGTCTAGAGTATCTCCTCCAGGCTTATCATGGGTCCCCTCCTAGAGTGGGTTAGGGCCCTTCAAAGCTTTTTCATCTAAGGCATGATAAAATACACACGAGAAAGTTTCAGCTGTTGCTTAAAAGTAAGGAAACTATTCGAAATAAGTTTTTTGGGAACCTCATTGTAGAGCAGCCTGCCTTGATGGTTTTTTGAAATACATGTGACCTTTGAGGCCATTTTAATTTTTACCAATGAGGTAAGTAAATAGTAGAGATTTCTTAAGCCTGTGGACGCACAACCTGTGCAAAGGTTGTTCCTAATCAAAATGAAGTACCAAGTAAGGGTTTTTTTTTTTTCAAAAAAGCAAAATCCATCAGCTTGGCTTCAGCACTGCGGATATTTACAAACCTCCCTCCCAGGCTTGTCGTGGAGCCACAAAAGCCCCCGTTTCCAGATGCTATGTTTTCCGATTGCTCACCGCTTACCTGCAGGAAGAAAGCGTGCTTCACCTGGGCAAAGAGAAACCCTCCTGGAGACCTGCCTTTTATCCCCAGTAAGCAAGCACACATTATCCAGGACATTGAAGGCAGGGAAACAACTCGTTAGTCTGTAACCTGGGGGGAATAGCCCCACTGCTAGAGACTTCAGCACTCCAGGATCCGTGTTGTACTTCATTCCCAGGCTCCGTCTTTTGTAGACCAGTGCCTTTGAGAAGATTACTGCTGGCACACTCTGCCCTTCATGGCCTGTTCTCCTTACCAGGAGCCTTATTGAGGCAGAATATGCATGACAGCTTACTGGATCTACTAAAGGGAAAATGGACTCACTTCTGACTGCCACACTGTTCAAACAAGTCAGTGCTAACACAGACTGCGGCAGGGTCCCCAAGGGCCTCTCTGGAAATGCCTGCCCTTCCTCCCACACCAACCTCCGCATCCCGAGAGAGTTGGTGCACATCCAGATCTTAAAGCATCCTGAGAGTTGGTGAACTAATTCCTGTTAAAACCAACAGTCACTTTAAGTTTGAGGAAGAAAGGTTTAACCAAGTACTAGTAAGATTCACATTTTTAGCTTTTGTTCTTCCAGCTGACTCTGTATACTGGGCCCACAGTTGTACAGAGAGTTACCCTATGCTGACTGCACGGGAGATGCACAGGGCGTGTGGATGCTATGGGAATGGAGAGCATTGGTCATGCAACAGCTTCGCCTATGATGCCGTGTCTTTCCCTGCCCTTCTATATGTTCTTCATGTATTTCCAGGTCTCCTATTGATTCATCCACACTATGTACAGGATTAGAATGCCCAGCAGCTGGGGGAGCCTTTCCAGGGTATGGTTCAGCGGGTGTTACCAGTGACCCTTGCTCACTCCTGTACCTTTGCTTCCACGGGACCACTCCCATGGGGTCTATAACCCCTGTGGGTATGCACCAGCAGCCAGGCTTGCACAACAGCCTCCTGGCCTGGCTGCGCTGAAGGACTTCTTTTTGTTTTTTCCTGTTGTTTGTTTTTTTCTGATAGAGTCTGGCTCTGTCGCCCAGGCTGGAGTGCAGTGGCACGATCTCGGCTCACTGCAACCTCTGCCTCCTGGGTTCAAGCCATTTTCCTGCCTCAGCCTCCTGAGCAGCTGGGATTACAGGCACATGCCACCACCCCCAGTTAATTTTTGTATTTTTTAGTAGAGACAGGGTTTCGCCATGTTGGCCAGGCTGGTCTCGAACTCCTGACCTCAAGTGATCCGCCCGCCTCAGCCTCCCAAAGTGCTGGGATTACAGGCATGAGCCACCACGCCCAGCTGGGACTTCTCTTTAGTTATCAGGGCCTCTGTGTCAACAGGCTCCTGGGATATTTCCTCAGTCTCTCTCTCTGATGTCTCAGCCAGCTATTCTGCCCAAGACAGAAAGTTTCTCTGTAGATCTGGCCTTGGGAAAGACAGATCAGAGTCTCAATTCTAAGATGAATAGGTACGTTGGCGTCAGCTTTTGCCCCAGGATTGCCTGCTCCTACATTCTTTCCTATTATTTGGTTACCAAGATGCTCACATGCAGCCGGCATCTCATGTCCCACAGATCCCATTTGGGGTGCAGCTTTCACCCTTCCACAACTTTGCTTTTAATCGTCACGCTTAACTCCCATCTCTTACTTTGAAACCTTCTCTCTGCGTTGCTTCTTTTCCCATATTTCTTATCCCTTTCATTCTAAACAGTTTCTACAAAAGAACAAAGTCAGTCTACGGGATGAGAGCGGGGAGAGGGATGACAATTCTGAAGAATTCTAGTAGGTTGTTTTTTATTAGGCACTCAGTATTTTTTTCCCCATTATATGTAGTACCTTCTAAGCCCTGACTTCAATGAGAATTTCACTGGTAGAAAGCTTTTAGAGTTGGAGACTTTTGTTGTTTTTTCTGTACAAAGTTTCCTCTTATTTTTTATCTGGCAGAGTTTTTCATTTTGTTTTCTTGGTTTGGTTGTTTGGTTGCATTTTCCTACCCTCCCACCACCCCGCCACTTCCACTCTTCTGCTTGCCTCTTGCTTTTTGAGTGTCTGAAAAAAAGAAGATACGTTTGAGGGTATTGCAAACAAGGAAAAATCATCAGGTGACATTGTTCTGAACTGGTAAACTTTCTATCCCATAAGAGTTTCTTTAAATAGAAAACAAAGCAAAACGACATAGTATTGAAGGAATTCTTGGATCTAGGAGGAAAGGAGCAAGTATCCACAGCCCTGCCAGGAAATGGGTTCTCAGGAAATGGGCTCCCAGGAAATGGGCTCCCAGTACTCCTGAGAGAATGTGTGTGTTTCCTGAAGGCCAGCAGGGTACCTCCAGGGGTGCGTGTGTTTGTGTGAGGGTGGAGTGGGGTGTATATAAGGCTCACAGGGCAGGGGCAGGATATATGGGCCCCAAAAATCAATGGCATTATCAATTTTGCCTTGTAGGCTATGTCCAGGTATTTGAATTTTGAAAATCCCTCCCGGCTGTCATCTCAAGCTCTCTTGGGAACCTTTAAGGATGCCAATATCTGATTAAATGGCAACTTTAGCTCCCTCTTGAACCTTTCACTTTTCTCATCTCTAAAATTCTATTGATGGGCCAGCCTTAAGTTGGTGACTCACATCCTTCAAATGACCACATTGGAAATGGCAGAGACCTCCTTTCACCCACCCCAGCCCTAACACTGGAATCCACAGCCCACCCTGTTTTGGGGGTGCTGGCCACAAGCTCTGGATGCCAACGGATGAGGCCAGGACCTTACATCACCTTCCTGACAGCAGCTGAAAGGCCACAGTGTTTGTATTGATTTACAGGAGCACTTCCTAGTTTTGTCGTCCCTTTGCAACTGTATAGAACAGCTTGAATATTAGAAGGTGAAAGCCATGCTCTATAATAACCTTATGAAAGTTTCATGCTAGCATTTGATCAGTAGCAAGCCTGGCTTAGAACAAAACCATGTTCCTTCGAATGCTGTTGTTGAAGGCTCACACTGGCACCGAAGCTGTTTTCACGTTAGGGTGGCTTCATAAGGGAGCACATTGTTGGTAGACACCACTGTCTGGAGGAGTTGGGGGAGAAAGAAGATGAATGGAAGCTTGGAAAGCATTGTCATTGAAAACATGCTGAGTTCAAAGTCAGCTGTTTCACTCTCCTTGGAGGAAGTTAAAAACAAAGGTATTCTATCAACAGGCATTTAATAACTGTCTTGTTATATACTCTATTACACAGTAATAGTTTCCACTCATTGAGTGCTAATCACATATGTGTGTGTCACACTCACCGTGCGTTTCTCCTCAACGTCCTTCCTGTCTTACCTCTTATATAGGAGCTCGGCCATTTGGGGCATTAACCCCAGCTTTCTCACCAGGTCTAAGCCAGTCAGTGCACACTACTTCCTGTGAGACAGGATTGGTTTAGGAACAGGGGATAACCCAAATGGGAACAGTGGTTTGTGAGGGGAAGGTGTGCGAGATCTGAGGACCTCTGGGAGTGATGCCTCACTCTGGAGAGAGAAGCCTGGGGAGGGTGAGCAGCTGGGCCTGTTACAGGCCTAGGGACGAAGCTGCCACAAAGAGGACAGCAGAGGTGAACAGGGGTGGAGAGACCAAGCCAGAACCACTGCGGCAGGACAACCCTGTCCTCCTCCTCATGAATCGAATTCAGTCCAACACAGTTCTGCATCCTTTGAAGCTGTTTGGATTGGAAATTCTGTTACCCACGACCAACAGTATGTTCGCATTGGTAACAATCAGTGTTAGTAAATTACCCATTACAGCAGTCCTCTGAGATAAGTACCGTTAAGTCTCCGTTTATAGATGAGGAAGCAGAGGCTTTGTGGGGTTAGTTAACTTTTCCAGATCACAGGACTAAGTAGCAGAGCTGGGTTGCAAACCCAGTTCTGTCTGATTCCCAAGCCTGCCTCTTCTGCCCAGCGGTATCTGTCTGTTCCCACATCCTCAGCAGCTTATCGGGAAGGCGCTCACTTTCTGGGAAGCAGGAGGAAACCCACTCTGGCTCTGCCCTTGAGCCAAAATGGATAAAGGCCAGAACACAGGGCAAGTGTTCAGTGGCTTCTGCAACACACCTCAAAGCTCAGGGCAGTCCCGTGATTGGCGCATAGCCAAGGAAACCTAACAGGAGGCAGCACATTAAATCTTTCAGTCCTTTTTATGGCTAGATATAACACACATGCATAAAAATGCATAAAAAATAAATACATAATATAATGAACAATTATAAAAATAATGCCCGAATCAAGAGCTGTTTGGATTTGGCAATTAAATGTTGGTGGCAAAGGAAATCAAGATGATCATCCTAGTCACGACCTTACCTGTACCTGTAGCATTTGACACTCTTTAGGAAAAGTCATGGTGTTTATACCCTAGTCTGTACCATTCATGCCACAATGAGCATCCACAAATATACCCACAAAATGCTATCCTAGAAAAGAGCCATTAATGAAATAAAACTGACTGAGTTAGGGCGATAGCAGCAATGAAGCTATTATTAGCCCTGTTCTACTTTCTATCTCTCATGATGCCCAATTCTCAGGGAAAATGGCCCCTAAAGTGATTTCTTGGAAATCCAAAGTTAGAGAGTGGTTTCCAAGGCCATTAGGAGGGACATCTGTCATGCCACCCATGGCCTTGTGCCAGCCAGAGCGCACTAACAGTTGAGGTAGGCCATCTTAAATAGACACACTTCATTATGTGTGTCTGTGCTTTAATCATCTTTCCATTTGTCAGGAGATATCCTGCATAGATAAATACCAATTTCTGTTTGTGTATATCTCTTGTAATTGATTCTTTATTAGTTCTTTTCAAAGACAGTGTAATCAGAAGGTCTGTTTGCAGAATGTCCATTTGCTGCAAAGAAGAGAATAAATCAATCGATGAGTCTTTTTTATTTTGAGACAGGGTCTCACTCTGTCACCCAGGCTGGAGTGCCACTGCATGATCTTGAGTCACTGCAGCCTCCGCCACCTGTGCTCAAGCAATCCTCCCACCTCAGCCTTCTAAGGAGCTGGGACTACAAGGCACGCACCACCATGCCTGGCTAATTTATGTATTTTTTGTAGATATGAGGTCTTACTATGTTGCCCAGGCTAGTCTCAAATTCCTGGGCTCAAGTCATCCTCCCACCTCGGCCTCACAAAATGCTGGGATTACAGGTGTGAGCCACTGCACCCCACCAATCAATAGATCTTTACAGCCACCTTTATATCAGGGGGAGCCCTCTGTGACCCTGTGTGGTACAGAGTCGGAGGAGAACCCTGGGGAGACCTCGTCATTGGAAGGAACCCCAAAAGGCTGTGAGGAGGCAACAAGCCTCCAACTGCATGCCTGTAATTATGAGATGGATTAATAAGGATGTTCCTCTCCAATTCATATTTTAGCCCTTCTTTAGAGTCTTCAATTAAAAAGATAAAAAATATCTTCTAGTCCTGATGATTCTTTTCATTATTTTAATTACTAAGGTAATCTATTTGATACCTTACATTCCCAGGCGGCCGGCAGATAATTATCCTTTTACACTGCTGAGACCAACCCAAAGCCAGGCAGGCTTTCCACTAGGAGCAGTCAGAACCTGCCCTCATGAACAAAGACAGTGACACGATGGCCACGTGGTCCTTAGATGGTGCGTGGAAGAGGGGATTTTAAAGAGCGTGTGTCTGTGTGTGTGCACTGTTACTCCATACGGATGGTATCTGCTTTATGTGTTTGACAACGGCAGGTTTTTGTCTGCTTGCCATACATTCATTTGCACTTGGAGTGCAATCCAGACAGCAGCATTCTGTCCCCATTGTCTTTGAGGTCCTGCCACTCAGAGTCCCCGAGCCAAGCAGGGTGACAGGGTGCTCTTCATTTTTTCAAACCAAAGTTCTTTGCAAGCAGCATCTCCTTGGGCCGAGGGCTTCAGTGAATATTGTCCTGGCCTCCAGGTGGCAGCAGGATTTGGCTGGTGAGACTGCGGGCTCTGTCAGGAGAAAGCAGGGTGGAGAATAGGCAGAGGTGGGGGTGGGGGCTGAGCTTCCTTAGGGCAAGAGTCAGGTCTTATTCATCTTTGTCGCCCCAGTCAGTGCATGGAACTGTGCACATCACTAATAGTGATCAGTATCAATATCTGCTAGTATTTATTAAACCCTTGCTGTTTGCCAGGCTCAAAGACAACAGAAGAGAACAAAACTAAGAAGGAGAAAGCTCTGTGCATGTACAGCTGGCAAGTGGGGAAAGGCAGACCATAAAATAAATGGGAAACATATGTAGGACCTTTAGATTATGATGGGAGAGCGTGTGCAGTTTTAAATGGGACAGTCAAGGAAGGCTTTGCAGAGATGGTAACAGATGAGCAAAGACATGCAGGAGTGGGCCAGATGGAGACTGGGAAGAGCATTCTAGACAGAGGGAGCAGCGGTTGCAAAGGGTATGGCGGCATCATGCCCCAAGTTTGAGGAACAGGCAGTGGTACCATGGACACCAGCCAAGAGAGGCCACAGCAGTTAGAGCAGGGTCCATGATGGGCTTCGCAAAGAGATAAGGTCACAAAGATCAGGCGAGAGCCAGATCACATGGGCTTGTAGCCACTGAAAGGATGGCCTCTACTCTGGAGGAAGTGGGAAGACGCTAGAAGATTTTCAGGAGGAGGGATGTGATGTGCCTTGCTTTAGCAGCATTACTTTGGCTGCTATAAGGAGGCAAGGGTGGAAGCAGGGTGCCCAGTTAGACCATTGCAAAAATGTAAACAAGAGATGGTGGTGGTTGGATAGCAGTGATGAGGTGGTGAGAGGTGCTCAGGTGCAGGATATGTTTTGGAGATGGAGCCTGTGGGATTTGCTTCTGGGTTAAATGTAGGGTGTGAAGTAAGTGACACCCTGTCCTGTCTGCCATATGCTGTTGGTCTCACAGGCCAACCCCAGTACGATGTGGGAGGGACTCAGGCCAGGGATGAGTGCCAGATGGCAGGAGTTGTTGGGCACTGTCTTAGAGGCTGGATGCCACAATGGATGGAGGTGAATGGATGCCTGAGAGGCACCCAGCAGCCCCTGCAGTGAGGATCGGAGGGTTCAGTCACTTGTTGAAACTGTGCATGTAATCTTGAGAGCTGGAAGGACAGAGGTGGCAGTCACCTGACAGCCTTCACTTCATTGCTAAATAATCTTTTCCTATTGATTGCTGAAGTATTTTGAGTTGTCAACCCATTTTTTATACACCCAAGATGCTTCTCTTTTTAAAATTATTCAATTCAGAGATCAACTGATCTTAAAAATCTATATCTGAAGCCTCCATTTTCTCTGATTCTAAGCTCATTCCTTTCTGAAATATTGTTTCATCCTGGATCATTTCTTGAGATCAAGAGTTCATCTGAAATAGCTTTAACAAATAATGTTGCTCAAAATCTGCCTCCAAACCCAGTTCAACCCACATCCCAAGAAAACTCCCATTGCTACCCCTTTCTGCTTCCCTCACCCCTCCTACCCACTCTCACCTCTCCCCTCGGCTTCCCATCACTATCCCTGCTGTGGGAGCAGGAATCTGCTTCCTGAGGCTTGGGCCTTCTCCCCTTCACCCTTTCCCACTGGTACCTGGAGCCCCTTTCTTTGTGGTTGGCCAAGGGAGAAAATGACACCTCTCATTTTTTCAAAAGCTAGAAATAAGTGTGTCTCAGGGACTCATCTCGAGTGGAAAAGATGGCATGTTTGGTACAAAGGGCACAGCCAACCTCAATGCAGAAAATGTAAAGAGAAAATAACCTCAAAAGCTTTGGGACTCTCAAGCCTCAAAGCTAATGTGCTTGGCCATTTTTTTCTCCCCAAGAATGGTGAGGGCCAGGCATGAGTCCAGCCAGCCATCATGGCCACGGGCAACAATCAGGGATAAGAGTAAAAACTGATAAAATAAAGAGCTAGCATTGATTATCAGTGTATACCAGACAATTGCTAAGTGTATTACATCCAGTATATTATTTTGTCCTAATGGCATGGCTGGGGCCGAGAGAGGCTGAGTAACTCGTTCAAAGACACACTACTAGTCAGTGACAGAGCCTGGAGCAGTAACCAAAAATGAGTTAGTTCAACTATTGCCAGCCAGTTCTGAATACTTTTCATTCACTCATTCAACCAATACAAATTAAGTGCTGCCTGTGGGCGAATGCTGTGGATGCTTGCTGCTTTGCTTTCTAATTTGTATATGTGAGCCTGCAACTGTAAAAGATTGGGTCTGTTGATGTTTTGAGGGGGACCTATCAGTGGCATCCCTCTTCCTTTGCTGAGTTCAGATGTCATGAAGAGTACAGACAGGAATCAGGCGAAGATCAAATGTTCATTACTGTTATGATGAAACGAGAGGCTATGGCTTGGTTTATAGCCACAGTCAGGCTCCCTAACCTGCCTTCCCAGAAGTCACCTCTACTGCAACTCTGAAGAGATGGCCTTGCAAGCCAGAAGATGAGCTGGTCCAAAAGGGGGCTGAGCCACGGGCCCAGTCCTCTCCTCCCGTCCCCTCATACCAGCCCTCCCCCAGGGAAGGGTCCAGGTCTGGGAGTGGGAGCAGCCTGTGAGAATGCCTCCAAGAACACGCCAAAGGGCTGTGGGGCTCCAGCTGCAGGAGTGAGGCAGGACAACAGAGTGAGGAAGTGGCTGGGGACAGGCAGGCTGGCTAAGCATTTTCAGCAGGGTGTGACATGATCAGATTGATGTTTTTAAAGGATCTCACCAGCTGTGGTGGGGATTGGAAGAAGGCTGCAGTCAGGGTGGGGAGGACCAGAAACAGAGACCCTGCTGGTGGCCTGGATGGAAGGTGCCAGTGGCAGTAGAGGCCAGCCAGGGGCTTCTGTGTCACCTCCTGCTGCCAGCTCCTCCTTGGGACTGGCACTGACCCAGGCGGGGCAGATACAGCTGCTGGTCCTTCAGACCAACCGTGCTGTGCTCAGGCCTCAGACCCTGGCCCGTGCCTTCTGTGCTGAAGGCCCCTGTGAACAGTGTTTGCTCTTCAAGGTTCATTCTCAGCCTGAAAACTTCTTCCTTCTGGCATGTTTACAGTTTATGAAGTAAAAAGTCCATAAAGAGATTTATCCTCCCCATCCCAAAGCTGTAACCTAGGTGCAGTCATTGGCAGGCTACCAGCCCGACTTCCTCCCCTGGGGAAGAAGGCTTGTCACTAGGGAAGGCATGCATGTTGCTAATGAGAGAACATGAAGCAATCCAGGTCCACATCTGTGTGCTGCCTCCACTCACGGCTGCCACGAAGGTGCTCCAGCTGGCCGAGCGGAGTGGCCCTTGGGAGGCTGAGGATATTGGGCCTGCGGGGAGTTACACGCATTCCACCCAGTAAGGAAGTTTGTTCATTTGCCATTCACCAGGTATCTGTGGAGCCCCTCCTGTGGGCCAAACATCATGCCAGGTGCTGGAGATGCATGTGAAAGTGAAGAAAGGCAGAGTCCCTGCCCTCTCCGAGTTAGTGGGTCTGGGACTGGGGGAAAAGACAAGTGTCAGACCATCATGATACGACAGCATGGCAATGCCAGGGGAATACCTAGAAGAGTGGGGCAGGGAAATCTTTTCCAGGGAGGACCTTCCAAGCAGAAACCTGAGGAATGAGCGGGAATTGATGAAATGGAAGGTCGGGGGTGGGGCAGGATATAGAGGAAGGGGAAGAACATGCCCTCGTGGGAGTGATGACTGGGCACCCTTCTCTCCTCGGACGCAGACCCAGCCCTGCACCTGATGCACAAACCGGCCTTCAGTTGCTACTTGTACCCTTGATCAGACAAGATGGCAGTGGGCTGGACAATGGAGATATTTTCAGGAAGCTTGGTTGAGAAGGACAGGCAAGAGATAAACAAGACGACCAGAGAGGAGGCCCAGTCAGGAGTGAGTTCGGCTTGTCTAAGTGCTGGTAGGCGGGAAGAGAAGGGTCCCAGGTGAAAGAGGGGTTGCAGGTGCAGGAGGAAGAAGGGATCAATGGTAGACAAGGCCCCTGAAAAGTCGAAGGCAGTGGAATGCAGCTCGCCATGGTAGGGTTAGACTCAGGAGGGGACAGAAGAGAACGAACAGGATTGGTGTGAATGCAGGAGGCGGGGGAGTTGTGATTTTGGTGGCAGGACTTTGAAAGCGTTTCTTGGTGGCTTCTTATTTCTGCCTGGAAAGAAAGGCTAGAATATTTTAAAACATGACTATTAATAGGCTCTCTTTCAACTTCCCCACTCATCTGTGATCATCTCTCATGGTCAACCCCTTCTTTTAGGATTTCTAAGTCTTTCGTCACCATCATTTTGGATATTGTTTTGCTAGACACCCAATTGACTCAACCTAGAACTTGATGCTTCCATTTTCCCATGCTAAGGTGAACTTCGTAAATATAATAAGTTAGGCGGGTTTTGGGGGGCTGGGCCGGAATCCTAACACCATATACTGTTCAATGTTTTTTCTGAGTTGTACGATGCATTCCAGGCCCAAACTCAGTCTTACAGATGATATTTTGGAACATAACTCTCTGTAAGGACTCTCCCTCGAGTGATTTTAATTGTATTAGGAAATCATATAAGTTGAACCTCCGCAATTTGTCAGTCTTGGAAGGAAAGCCATGAGTAGCCAATGAATGGAGTCAGGCTAAGTCTGGGCTTTCCATCTACTTTTAGTTGATCAGGCAAATGGCATCTTCTGGCCTTGGGTTTAGGTGCTGTTATCCTGGGCACTTGATGGCTGTTGAAATAATACAAATGCATCAATTCTCAGCAAGCAGTAGACACCATTTTCCTGTTGGGCAAAAAGCAAGCTTAAGAAGGAGCCATTGTGTGAACTGCCTTTAACTCTGTCCTCACCCACATTCATTCTAGTGAGGAATCCTTTAAAAGAGTCCTTAAATCTAATTGCAATCATGGATCCTTTCCAAGCTTCTAGAGTAGAATATCTCCTCCCTCTCCATGCCCAACTCCAAAGGAGGCTTTTGGAGTAAATGCTTTTCTGCCCACTAGTGCCAGGGGTGGGCCTAGTGGAAGCCTGTGCTGGCCTGGGCCACCCCCAACCCTGGGCTGTGCACAGGAAGACAGGTCCTCCCCACGCCCTTGTTCTATGGCTCTGATTCCACACAGTGACCCTGGACATGCCAAGCACTGACATTCCTCCTTCATGATAAGCCAATGAGATCACAAAAAAGGACTCTCAGTTTCTTCCATTTAAAAATGATTTTTCCACTTCAGTTTGTGCCTGAGTGCCCTATTAAACATTTCTTTTTAAGGCATAATGACACATTTCTCCCACTTCTCACCTTGTCAGTGCTGGAAGATTAAAAAATCAAAGTCCCCCACCAGCTCTGCCCTGGCCCCTCTTCATGGGGTGTCCTGGGATGCGTCATGTGCCCGGAGGTGGTTTAGTGAGGAGCCAGGCTCACTTCATATCTCTGTTGTGCCGTGCAAAGATCCCAAGAAGGGAAAGTAAGTGATTTATACGAAACACTCAAGCTTCCTCCCTACCCTCCTCTTCCAGGAAGATGTCATAACCAATACATCAGGGTGTCCAGCGCTCTGTTTCTCCCCCGCCCCCATCAGAAATCTGTGCAAAATTAGAGCTAAACCATGGGACATATTTAATTAAAAGACTAATGGCAAATAAGGTTCTGGTGGATGTTGTCTAATTGCGGTCTGTTAGATTTTAATTACTCATGGTAAATTGTGAAAACTAATCCACAATGTGTCTTTGCACACTCCTGTTCTTTTTAATCACAAAGAAAATGTTCTCGGCAGCTGACAGGATGGGCCTCATCATCAGCACAGAGCAACTTGATCTTACACGACAGTGACTCAGCAACTTGCCGAATCCAATTAGCAGCTTTGTAGCTACTTATTCAGAATGGCTATAGCAAAGTCTCGCTTCAAATGCCACAAACAGCCAGGTCTCCCAGCCCCTGATTCACTTGTATGCTAACAGCAAGGATCACTGCCAGAGTGGAACAGAACAGACGGGTTCTGCGATGAGTTAGAAACATGCTTTCCCCTGGATCCCAGATTTTTGTCTGTCCTCACCAGAGATTGACACAGAAGCGCTAGGAAGCTCTTGGAGACTTTTAGAGCTGAGGAGCCAGAGAGAGATCTTAGTGGTCACCTGGTCCTGATGAAGGAGCTGGGGCCCAGGGATGGAAGGCAGTTGCTCAGGATTACACAGATGGGTAAGAAGAAGGCCCACATCATAGGAACCCAAACCTCCTGACACCCCACGCCTTGCCCTCCCCAAGACCCCCCCCAGGTCTCTCTCCCAGGTATGTCTTAGGAAGGGACAGTGTGGTGTCCGGAGAGAACCGTGCTGACTCTGCCCCACCCAGCAGGGTGAACTGGCAAGTCATGACCCTCCCAGCTCTCAGTTTCCTGATTGTTACTGTAAGCGTAATGCTCTGTAAGAGAGTTTGAGAAGTATATGAGATAGTCATATGAAATTGCCCAAAACAAGTAGAAACTCTTGTTTTAGGCACCTAAAATCCCTTCGTTCTTGATTTGAGGGCAATGAGGTGGAGAGAGGGTGAGGGAGGAGAGAGAGAGCAAGAACATGTGTTGTGTGAAAACATTATGAATCAAAGTTACTACTGCAAACTTTGAAGAAAGATGGTGGCCAGAGGGGACTCTACTTTGGACATCAATTTATTTGGTAGATAATAAAGAAAAAGGGTGCCCTCTCGGACATTTTTCTCTAGGACTCAGAATTTATATTTAAACCTCTGTTCCAGCTATAGAGCTCTGCTCCGTGCCTGCCAACAAGATATTAGATCCCTCTGCAGCTTTCTCCTTGGACACTTGCCTGCATTTGTGAGTTGCTGTTTTTGTCATTGGAATAGACCAGTTTCTGTACCTGGAGGCTAAAGTGAATGAGTGTCTTTTAATGAATCGCAGAAATGATCAGCTGTGGCACGGAGCTGTCAGTAACCCAGCCTCTCTTGCCACCTATCACCTCCCCATGTAACATGCATAGACATTTCATGCCTTTGTCCTATCTGTTGAAAAGGGAACAGCACGTCTGTCTTCTCTCTCTGCTCTGTTTTGATTTTTCCTATGACCAGAGGTTGCTGCAGAGAGTGATTTTTAAAAGACAAAACCAAACAGGATCATTCTTCTTCCAAATCAAATATGGTCAACGTAGCCTTTCAGAGAGAGACTCACCGGCCATTAAAACTTCTCATAGTTTTAATGAAAAGTGGCAGTCCAGCACCATGGTGGTGCTGAGAGAGGACCTGCCTACATGTCACATGCAGCTAGAGGGGCTCACAGGCCAGGAATAGTATGAGATTGCCTACATAGTGTCTAACACATGGCACCGAAATTTTAGTTAACATCAGTGCTCTTACTTTTTTCTTTTTAAGTAACACCAGGGACACATAACTTTTTATTAATCTAAATAAATATGTGTGTTGCTCATTAAGCAAATTAACAAAGCTTGTAATACTGATAATTATAGTAACTGCTATCTTTTATTGAGTATTTATTTTGTTCCAGGCACTGTGTTAGGATCTCATACACATATATCTATCTGACTTAAAGGTGATGAAACTGAGGATTAGAAGGATTCAGTAACTTGCCACAGTGGAATCACCTAGTATGCACTGAGAGTGGGTCCGTGTGCCTTCAGAGCCAGCGCTCTCAGCCCTTCTGCTGTTTTGCTTCACAGTGTGTTCCAGGGAGTAGTCGGATCTCTGGGAAGCCTGAGACTGATTGTAACGGCCAGGACAGGAGATCAGCTCTCCTGAGCTATTTACTCCAGCCTAGGGCACTTCTGCGAAAACCATCTGAGAGTATCTCTGGAAGACTGGGGCATCTGAAACCACGGCTTTAAAACAGTCTTGCCAGAGAGTAAACTTAGTTTCCATAGGTTGTGATCTGAACCATCATGTTAATGTTGCTAGCTTCTCACATCCACTTCCTTTATGAGTTCATTTTCCTTTTTCCTGAAATATACCCTTCTTAGGTCTTTCTTCAAAGGTATGTGAGTTGCAGACCTTTTCATTGTGTCTCACTTTGAAAATGTTTTTATTTTGCCAGTGTTCTAAAATAACAGCTTAGCTGGGTATAATTGATGTAGGTTGACAGTTTCTTGGTATTATTCCATTAGCTCCTGAACTCTTTGTAGCTACTGAGAAAGCTATTTCTTTGTTGTTGCTTTGTAAGTCCTATTTTTCTTCTCTAGTTATTTCCAAGGTCATCTCTTCATCTTGGGTGTTCTGCAGTTTCATTACAATGTGACTAATACAGTTTTTTAAAAATTAACCCCATTCAGGACTTATTATGTTTCCTGAGTCTGAAGAGTTCATTAATTCTGGAAACTTCTCAGTCATTGTCTCTTTAGATATTGCCTCTCTTTGTTCTCTCTACATTTTTCTGATACTCATATTCTATCCTATATGTTTCTTAACCTGTTTTATATTTTCCATTTCTGTCCTTCTCTCTACTGTATTCCAAACAGTTCCTTAGAGTTGTCTTCCAATTTACTCATTCTCCATTCAGCTGTGTCTAATCTGTCATTTAACTCTGCGACTCATTTTTAAATTATATTTTTATTTCCATACATTTTTATGTAAGTCTTTTTTTATTATACTTTAAGTTCTGGGGTACATGTGCAGAACATGCAGTTTTCTTACACATGCCATGGTGGTTTGCTGCACCCATCAACCCGTCATCTACATTAGGTATTTCTGCTAATGCTATCCCACCCCTAGCCTCCCACCCCTTGAGAGACCCTGGTATGTGATGTTCCCCTCCCTGGGTCCATGTGTTCTCATTGTTCAACTCCCACTTATGAGTGAGAACATGTGGTGTTTAGTTTTCTGTTCTTGTGTTAGTTTGCTGAGAATGATGGTTTCCAGCTTCATCCATGTCCCTGCCATTCTTTTTTCATTATGCTCTTTCTTGTGGTTCTTTTATGTCTTTAAGCATTTTAAACATTCTTAATTGTTTAAATTCATTTTCAATCATTTAAGTACTTTTTTTATTGTTCTTGTATCTGAAATCCTTGGGACACTGATCCTTCTGTCTTTTATGTTTAGTATATAATGGGTTATTTCTTCATGTGTTCTGTAATTTGGGGCCTTGAGGTTATGTTCATTGGAGCATATCCTGAGACAATCCCCTGTGGCCAGCCTTTTCCTCAGTGCTGTTTCTGCATTTTCTTCTGCCAGGTCTTCAAGGGTTAGCACCTTCCCAAGACCAGTTTTATGGTAATTTCTCAGCTTGAGGGTCTGAGGTACTGTACACTTTGAACTCTAAATCCACATGAGACACAGACCTGGAATTTTAATTTTCAGGGTAGGCTTCTTCTCCGTGTTCTTCAAATCCAGACAGAGGCAAGATTCCTTTTTGCCAGTCTGTGCCAAGGATATGTTTTGTTTTGTTTTGTTTTCCCTAGTCTGCTGTTACATCAAGGGTGGCAACCCTTTAGAATACCCACACCGGGCAGGAATCTCAGTTCCAACTTCTTGGTTCATGTCGGCCAAAGCTTTCATTCTCAGGTGAAGGTTAAAATCTAAGCTCTAGGTTACAATAATGGATACTTTCTCTGCTCCAGGTAGCTACAGCATTGGGCACTTACTGCTGTGGTTTGTGTTATTTACTTTTTGCGTCTGGAGATTTTTTTCCCTTGCTTTCTTATTATCTCCTCAGCTACCTACTTTTTTATAAAGTCACTACTCTTACATATTGTATTAGTTCATTCTCACACTGCTATGAAGAACAACCCGAGACTGGGTAATTTGTGAAGAAAAGAGGTTTAATTGACTCACAGTTCTGCAGGCTGTACAGGAAGCATGGCCGGGAGGCCTCAGAAAACTTACAATCATGGTGAAAGGGGAAGCAGACATGTCTTACCATGGCAGAGCAGGAGAGAGAGAGAGAGCGAGGGGGAAGCACTACACACTTTCAAACAACCAAATCTCATGAGAACTCACTATCACAAGATCAGCAAGGGAGAAATTTTTTCCCATCATCCAATCACTTCCCACCAGATCCCTCCCCCAACACTGGGGCATTACAATTCAACATGAGATTTAAGTGGGGACAAAGAGTCAAAAAAATCATATTAACATTATTCAGCACATCTAGGTACATGTAGCAGTAGAATCTTTAGTTTATCTTATTCTGCATCACTCTAGAACTTTCTAAGTCATACTATCTGATTATAAACTAACTGTCATACATAGGAAAAATTGTGGTAGACAAAGAGGTAGACATACTCTTCGATCACATGTTTCAGCCACCTGTCCAAAACACACACTTTACCCAACCTGTGCTCATTTATTTGCCCAGTAAAAAATTCAGCACGAAGCAATGGGGCCTAAAAATGTTGGGCCACACCAGTAGCTTCTTCAAGGCATGACAGTGTTTCACAATCCCCCCAAGCCCGTAATTGAAGCCTCTTGACATTTTGCCTTTGAAATTAACCCATGGGCAGTCTTATTAAATTCTGCCTAAGCATTCATAATAGACAGACTTCAACTTGAGAAAGTTGATTATGTTTCTCTCCAGTGCCCCAGAAATGTAAGCCTGACATCTTTTTTTTTTTCTTTTGAAGTAAGAAAATACCAAGAAGAGAACACTTCTTTTCACAAAGTTTGGAAATGGACAACTGCAACTCAATACAATTTTGAAAGAGTTTATTGACTCTGACTTTTACTTTATTAGTACTTACTTGTTCCAAGTTGCTGACAATGCTTCAGTCTTATGGCTTCAATTTTTCCTAACTGAGGGAGTAGTTAGGAGCAAATAGCATCATTTCTGTTTTATTGAGACCTGGAGAGTCCCTAGATTTATCCAAGTAGCAAAGATAGCCAGACCTCCAAAAAAAAACTGTGCCCTTGAACCCAACCCAACCCACTTGCCCCAAGCAAAATTACTTTTTCGCAGAAGTATATTTTAAGATTATTCCCTCAAGTTTCATCAAGGGATCAGCCTTATGAAACCTGCTAGTGCTTTGAGGTGGGATATAGCTGAGACGTTGACCGCAAACGTCAGATAATGTTTTCTAGCCAGGATTAAGAGCATAGCTTTGGAGGCAGTTGCATGCCTAAATTGGAATCCCACCTCTGTCACCTAATATTTGGGTGCATCTCTGCAATAGGAGGTGACAGTGTCTGCCTCTCAGGATGGCTGTTCCAATCACAGCCAGTGAGATCATGTGGGTACAAGGGCTCTGGAAGCCGCATAACTTTATAATTGTTCATTGTCTCTATTGTTGCTACGGTTACTATTAATAAAATGTCTTCAATTTTACCAACACTGTGTGATGGCAAGGCCCAGAGCTTTCTTTAGTTTTATGCATATTTGGAATTTAAAAGTTGTTTTCATAGAGAAGTACATGGTTCTAGGATGAGTTTCCATCAGTTTGTTATGTTAGCTCTTCAGGTGAAGAGGTTGTATGGGATAGTCACGTTCCTCCCTAGAAGGTAAAAATGAATCCACAAGACATGTGCCATAACTGTGATACAGCTATGAAACAGTAAGCACAAACATTCCAGCAACTTCTGAATTCAGACAAACACTACACCCTCCATGTGGTCTATGTTGAAGTCCTGTAATGCAGCCAGTTTTTTTTTTTAAAGAATTTTTATAGGCCCAATAATAAGCCACATCAGGAACCATATCTTGTTACTTTATGGTTATGCCTTCTTTTAACATATATGGAATATTAATCAATTAGATTACTTTTTCTCACCAATTTTGGCTCTAAATGTTGCCGGGCCATTTGCAAAAATGAAGTCTCCCTTTTATAGTGATACATTTAAATAGTCATTTATAATTATAAAGTGCCTGAAAAACTTATCCGCTCTCAGTAACACTGTGAAGCAGTTGGAATCCTCACTGTAAAACAGGGCTACCTAGGCTTAGAGCCGTGAAGGGACTCGCACCAACTCACTTCTCTTACAAAGAGGAGCTCTAAGCTGAGAATCCAGTGTCTGACCTCCTCAACCAACCTGTTTTGTGCTTGTCTTGCTGCCTTTACGCTCTGCAGAGCAAGGATTTCTCTCTCTTTGGAAGAATGTGTTCCCCTAAATGAGTTCCCATCATATCTTCAACAAGTTTCACTTGAATTTGTAAATTCTGAGATGAGTTTGGGCAAATCGCTGTCTCTGGAAGCTTCGCTCTCTCCTATTGTTAAAAAATGGAGTCAATTTAAAGTTGCCCCCTGAGCCTTAGGGGTTCTGAGGAGCGGATGGGAAAGGGCTGTGTTGAGTGGGGCAGAAGGCTAGTATGTGGGGTCCTCTTGCCCCTTCAGCTAGAGCAGCTTTGCTTTGAGCTGTGCCACATACAGTGTAATTTAGGGGATACAAATAGGAAGGGCAGAGAGATTGGGGTTCTGTTTCATTAGAAAAAAAAAGATCTAAGCCAGGAGGCCCTGAGATGGTGGTGCTCTAAACTGAGCTTGACGGGACATGCAGAACTGTTTTCTCCATGTTATAGATGAGAAAACCCATATGTAGAGAAGGTAAGCGATCTACCTAGATCCCATAGCTCAGAGGAGGAGAATGGGAATTTAAACTCAGATCACAGGGCCTTGATATGTGCCATCCCCTCTGTCTGGGACTGCCCGCCACCCGCTCTCACTTTCTTTCACTCCATCGGTTCCTACATCGGTCAGGCCTTAGCTTGTTGGTACTTCCACAGGGAACCTTCCTTGACTTTTAATAGCCCTTTTGTGTGGCCTCATGGCACCATGTACCTTCCCTCCATAACTTTTAGCACATTGTAATTTACATTTCTTTGTAATTCTTTAACTAATGCGTGTCTCCTATGCTAGACTGTGGAATCTACAAGTCATGTCTTGTTTGTTTTGTTTTGTTTTATTCCACCATTAGGTCCTCAGTACCCAGCAGAATACATGGCATATGGTGGGTGGTCGGCATTCATTTGCTGAATGAATAAATGAATTGAGTGGATGCATGAATGGGGACAGTGATGTTAAACATCATATGTGCTGCTTCCAGGGTCCCTTTCGACTCTGACCACCAGTGGTCCTGGCGTTTCCTAGCCAGGGCTGTCATGCTGTTTTGCTGCCAAAAACGGGTAGAGGAGTTTGAAGGGCTATCATGGAGGAGAAGGACTGGAGTGAATCCAGGGCGAGTGAGGAGAAACACAGGACACACTCGTCAGCTTAGTATAAGGGGAGCCCACACTGTCAGAGCATGGAATGGGCTGCCCCACAAGGAATCCAACATAAGGCCTGGCAGAAAGAGCTCAAGCATGGACCAGAAGACCCCTCTGGTGCCTTACCTTTGACTCTGTGATTTCATGAACATGTTACTTGTATGATGAATATTTAATCAGGATATCACTGCTATATTCCAGCCTAGAATATTGTAGACGGAGGAGGTGCATCCTACCAGCCAAATCCCTGTTTTGCCCCTCTTCCCTTCAATCTCTCACTGTTTGTCGAGAGATGGTGCAATTAATTAGACCCAGAGTTCCCCTCAAAGGTATTTGCAAAATAACAGTGTCATTGGAAATGTATACAAATTTCTCTTTACCGATGTGTAATTCCTTCATAATTAACGGACACTGAGTCTTAAAGTAATTAACCTATTTCTTCCATTAGTCGCTGAAGAAATAAAAGTTTTACAACATAACACAGTCATAGGTAATTCTACTCATGAATAATGGGGGTTGAGGGTGATGCCGCAGTGAACTCCTTGGATAGGTGGCTCTTAATACCATATGGGTGACATGGTAATCTCATGTCCTCTGCCTATCTTTTCTGACCTCCAACTTGTTTATGGTCTGTGCCATTCATTTAACATCTCAGTAGTTCTCTCTTATTTGCCAGGAATGAGACCTCAAGTGAACAGGAGGCTGGTGTCTGTATGCAGTGAAGCCACTCAGAGCAGGGTCATCCCAGCCTTTCAGAGGAGTCTTTTCAGGACCTGATCCTGGGTCCAGTTTTTCCTGTCGCTTTCTTAATGATGGATTTTTGGCTGTGCCTTCTCAAACAGAAATATAAGGCTCTCTTCTGTGACCCCACCCCTCCCTGCCGCATCCCAGCCCATTTCTGTACTCTACCGTCTGTACACGCAGACCAGCTGCTCTCAGCTATTTGCGATTCCTTGGACTGGTCTGTGCAGGCTCACAATTCTGTCTGTGCTCTCCGCAGAAAGGGCTTTTCCTCTGTACCACTTAACCATGTGCCAAAGTCATGTCCCATCCTTCCATCACCAGTTCATTTGGCGCCAGTCTGTGAAACTGCTCTGATCGCTCCTGGACAGGGTGAACCACTTTGTGGACATACCATGGCCAAAGCCAGCTTCCTACGGTGATTGTACACAGCCTGTCCTCTTTCAGTAGGTCATGCGCCGTCTGAAGAGGTCCCTATTGGGCCATTTGTACCTGGAACATATACTCAGCAAATCTTTTTTGAAATGGAAGGGGAAATAATACAATGAATGCCCCTTGCCACCAGTACCTCTGGTGACGTTTTGCCAGCTGGACTGAGCTCCTTGCTCTCCACCTGTCAAAATCCTACTTGTGCTTTAACATCTAGACCTAATCTCATCTCCTCTGCCAGTCTACTGACTTCCAAGTTGTCTATGGTCCATGCCATTTATTTAACATTTAGTATTAATGGTTTCATCCTGTTGACTGTCTATTCATGTATAAATGTCTTATGGACCCCAAGTGGATTGTAATATAGCCTAATCCTTCTTTCTGTAACTTTGAGATACATCTTCCCCTCACACTACCACTGTGTCATGCACAGAACAGCCACTCCATGAATATGTATGTATTGATCAAGCAGTTCGTATACCTGTTTGTGTCTCCTGCAATGTCCACCTCAGCACAGAACAAATAAATGCTGATCAATTGCTTGAGTTGGAAACGTAGCACTTCACCTGCCACAGATCTTCTGTTCTGTTACCTGACTCATCCACCAAAGTGTCGACACGATTGGGAGGCTGCCTTGTAACAGTACAGAGTTAAAGTTAGCTCTGTTGACTTTGGCTCTGCAGACTAAGCCAGAGAGAAAAATAAAATCTCTTCCAAATTTTCCACACAAACGAAAAGCACAGGGCTTTGGAAATATGTGCAAAATGAGACATTACTTCTTGTTAGAAATGTAAAAGGATGGCTCAGAAGATAATGGAATAGTTGAAAAGAATGTGTTAAATATGGCCAGACCCTGCCATAGCATTAAGAGTGGAGGATCTAAAAAAAAAAAAAAAAAAAAGAGGCATTTGTATACAATGCAAGGTATCTTCATTGCTAAGCTAATGAAATCATGAAGATGCTCCATCCAGGGAGGGCAGAAACCAATCACATGAGACTCATTGCAGCCCCCCTGCTGTGTGCACACCAGTGAGCTGTTGTCTGTTTTGTTTTGTTTTTCAATATAATGTGGGTTCCCAACTTGCATTTCTAGTAATAATCACTGGGCATCATGTGTTCAGGGTTCATCTATGTTGTAGCATGTATCATATCAGTGATCCATCTGTACAGACGAGGAAGTTGAGGCTCAGATAATTTGTCTAAGGTCATTCAGGTCTTTCTGTGTGGGCTGAAGTAGAGGTGGATAACCTTCAGCTGCCTGAATAATAATACCAACTGTTAACTGTTAGCATGAACAACACTTAACACTTTACCTATACATTTTTTTCATTCAATTCCTTCAAAAACTCTTGTTAGTTCATGATCTATATTTTAGAAGGAGAACCTGGACTAGAAATTAAGAACTAGCCCAAGACTCTGTAACTGAGAAGTGGTAAAGCTGGGCGAGTCTGCATCCCAAGTCTCTCCATAAGAGAGTCCATTAGATTTCCCCGGAGCAGTTATTGTCATATACACACGCATGCAAGGACCAAGGAGCTCGGCCACATCCCGCAGGAGGTGCTTGGCAGGAGACACTCACTGGGAAGTACCAGGAGAAGTCACAGGGAGTGATGGGAATAAAAACCTGGGGGTGTTTTGAAACATCCCTGAGGACTTGGCGAGTATTTGATGTTAAAAAGCATTTCTTGCCTGCAAAACACGTGTCTCTAAGGAACTCTTACGTTGCCGACGTGTGCTGGCTAGGAGCTGGGCCCGGCGGGGGAGGCCCTCTCTCTCTCTGCCTCTGGCCCTGCCTCCATCAAGGCCTGGATTGGAGTTGTCTTTCCCAAGGCAGTAACTGTCAGAGGAACCATCTGGACTGGTTTCTTGTGACTGACTCTGAGGAACAGAAATCCCTCTGGGAGGAAATCACAGGCACAGCAGCAGCAGGGAGCGGCAACACTGGTGTTCACTGGCTGGGAGCTGGGGGAGGCACCGCTCAGAATGGCCCCACAGGAGCGTCAGGCCCAGGACAGACCGTTGTGAGAACGAGGAGGAGAACCTCCTCTCCTCCTCTGGGGAGTGCGTGTATGGTATTTGCGAAATAACAAAGGGAATAGATGGAGGGGGCGAAGAAGTGTCCAGAGCATTGTTAACTGATGGAGCCCCATCATCTGCACGATGGCTTTCTCAGTGGGCCCTGCCACGCTGCACTTTGCCCTCATTAGGCCAGCGTGCTTCCCTCCGGCTCCCATCGCTCATATCATGGGCCCATCCTAGCCTTGCCCTTTCTTCCTGTGCAGGCTCTGGGAATGCTGGAGGATTGCTTGAGCCTAGGAGTTTGAGATTGGCCTGGGCAACATAGCGAGACCCTGTCTCTACATGAAATCAAAAAATTAACTAGATGTGGTGGTGCATGCCTGTGGTCCCAGCTTTTCAGGAGGCTGAGGTGGAAGGATTGCTTGAGCCCAGAAGGTCGAGGCTGCAGTGAGCCATCATTGTGCCACTGCCACTGCACTCCAGCCTGGGTGACAGAGCAAGACCATGTCTCAAATAAATAAATAAATAAAAGGATCTCTTCTGTCTTCTGAGGTGACTCCTAGGATTCTAGAGCCAGAAGGAGCCTCAGAGCACATTTATTCCACTCCTGTCACTGGGGGCAAAAATGAGGCCAGTAGAGGTTAAATGACTCGCCCAGATTCACACAGTCATCACAGGAGCTTGGGCTGGCACCCAGGCCTCCTGCCTCCAGGCCTGTGTCCTCTTCTTGCATTAAGCCCAGAGCAGTTCATTAGGAAAACCGTATAGAGTCATGAGACCCTAAGTCTCATGATCAGAATTTCATCTTCTCTTCCCTTTTGGTTTTTTTTTTTTTTTTTTAACATAGAGAAGGTAAAGGGGGAAAATGATTTACTTAGTTTCCAGACCACTTATTTAAATCCTGCCCAATCTGACTTCCACTCCTCACTTCACTGTTGCAGCCAAAGCTAACTAATGCATCCGTGCTCCAGGGGAAGGAATCTCTTCCCATCCTCAGTCCAAAGTCAGAGTCCAAACTCTGAGGAGGGTAAAAGAAACACAGGAAATACAAGTCCCTCACCCCCACAGCCTCATTACACTCTCCAATAAGCCACAGGAGTAAAGGAGGAAGATGGGGCGGATGCGTAGGTATGGAGCGCCTACTCTGGGTGGCTGGCTCTGTATTAACACTCTACACGCCCCCTCATTCAGTCCTCACAAACCCTGGAAAGCAAGTTTTGTTCGCCTCACTCTGCAGATGGAGTTATTGAGGCGAGAAGGGTGATGTAAGCTGCCCAGAGTCGCACAGCTAGCAAAGGGCAGAGCAGGAATTAGAACCAAGTTTCTCTAGCTGCAAAGTCTGGTTCTCCACTCCACCATGCCCATTCACTTCTATATTTTCAGGAGAGGCCATGGAACCTGTCCTCACTTCCTCCTCCTCCTCCTGCCTTACTGTGCCTCTTGCCCGAGTCCAGCCCTACCCACTAAAGCATTGCACGTATTGACCCTCGCAGCCATGCACAGTGCCTCTGACGTGGGCAGCTCCAGACTGAGCTTCTGCATCAGACAAGCAGGAGACAGATGAGGAGTGAGCCGGGGAAACCCAGTGTTTGTTACTCTGAAAATGGAAGCTGCCCCGTGACAGCATCTTCTCTCCCGTTGAGTAATCCCTGCATGAATAGATGGCAGCTGCAGTGACTGCTGGTCATATGTGATCTATTCTGGGAGGTGTTGAGCGCACCATCCAAGAACATGAAGTCGCTGCTCTGTCACAGATGGAGAAGCAGACTATTGTGGATGTTGCAGGAGCTGGGATTTGGCTGGATCCCCTGGAAAGGTTTTATTTTGAGTGCAGAGCCTGTTTGGTTGCCAGGGTAAACCAAGTGGTTGTATGATAGAGGAATTCCAACCCTCGCTAACACTCTGACCCCTTGTGCCAGCTTTCCAATAAGGCTTGAGAGTTCTTTAGAAAATCTCCTTCTTGGCACACTTTGAACTGGAGAGCAGTGACACTCTTGGCAGTGCTTTTGGTACTTGTTAGTTGTATCACTTAAGTTGATCGGGAAAAGAAAATAATCACTGGGGAGGGACCCCTTTTAAACATTTATAGTTTTGAGAATGCTTCACTGATCCAGCCCTGACTATACTCAGCACCTATACATCCTTGTCTTTGGTCTAGGGGCTCTGGTAGGAGGCGGCATTGAAATATGCCATCCCCTCCCTGCTGTTGCATTCTGCCGTCCAGCCCAGCTCTCCCATTGGCCCACACGGGGCTGCCCCTCTGGCCCTGGCTCTCGGCTTCCACACAAGCAGCTACTCTTGTACAGGATGGTAAAGTTAGGTGGCATTCACACTGGAGCAGGGACCAGGATCCAAGTGAAAGTAAGTTTCAGGAAAAGCTTGAGTCATGTTTCCAGTTTCAAGAGCCAGGCTGAATCTCTCAGAAGGGGAGCTGACGGGCGGCAGTGGGAGAGTGGAAGAGGTGGGCCCTGGGCACAGCATGTACTATGGCATCGCTCATCACCTGCCAATGGCAGGGAGCGTGGGCTGTCTTATATTCTGTTTGCCCCTCTCAAGAGGTAAGCTCCTAGCAGGCAGGATAACCTGAAGCCCTCTGGTGGGCCCTGTAGTGCCGCACTGTACTAGACAAACAGCGCGTGTCAGTGTTCTCGGGGAGGTGGGAGAAATTATGCACTGAAGAGCAAATCTCGGGAGAACATGAGGTTCCACGTGGGGTGCGGTGTGGCTGACTTCATCGCCAAGCAAGTACCAGCCCCTCCTGCTGTCATGGGCGTACTAGGGAACAGTCCTTTGCTCAGCCGGCTCCTGGGTTTCTGCAGGACCTCAGCAGGCTGCTAACTCCCGGATGTGAGCTGGTTGAGGGCAGATACTGGGTCCCCTTCATGTGCTTCTCTGTGTCCAACTCAGTGACTGAAACATGCTGTTTGTTGAATAACTAAAGGAATCTATGAATAAACTGGTGACAATGGAAGCCCCAGAGGTTCAAACATTCTAAGATGCCTATACCAAAATCTTTAAAAAAAATCAAACTCTATCCAGTGACCAACTCATTTTAGCCAATACCCCAATGCAATGAAATTGTAGCACCAAAAAAATTTTTTTAGAATCTCTCTTCAAACTCCTTATAATGGGATTTGACCTCTCAGACTTAGTAATGGGCAATCTGGTTTACTTTGCCTATGAGTAGAAGCTGTGAAGTACATAAAAGAGAACTTTTGTTTGCCTCTAAAACTCCAGGTAGTCAGTGCAGCCTGTTCTGTCCTTCGGGGCAGGCTTCTTGTCCTGATGAGTGTGCCTGCGTGAGTTGGGGGAGGACAGTAGCAACCTCGTGGTGCCCACCCCGGCCCCCATGCTCTTACCCTTCCTTTCTTACCCTTGCAGCCATCCCATTTTCCCAGCCAGCTGTCTGGCTTCCCAGACCACCTTTTAATGCCCCTATAAGCAGGAAAGACATTAAATCGTCTGTGCCCCAGGCACAGCCCACCCCACTCACAGTCATTCTTCCTGTCCAGCTGTGCCCTCTGTTGGTGGAAGGGCAGAGCCAGAGAGGAGCATGGGCTCATTCCATCTCATTTTTTAACAGAACAGTTAAAAGAAATTACTCTTCTCCATAACTTGCAAACCTTGTCACTTCTTAGAGGACATTGGGATTAAAGGAAGAGGGTGACAGTTAATAGCTGGGCTCTGAAACCAGATTTCCTAGTTTTTATTATTTTAATTGAGGAAAAATTGACATAACATTAACCATTTTTTAAAGTGTACAATTCAGTGGTATTTAGTATGAGAACAGTGTTGTGCAACCATCACCTCTATCTAGTTGTAAAATATGTCATTACCCCAAAGGAAAACCATATCCCTATGAAGCAGTCTCCCCTATGACCCCTGGTAACCATCAGTCTGCCTTCTATCTCTATAGATTCCCCTTTTCTGGATATCTTCTGTAAATGGAATTGTACAATATGTGTTCTATTGCATCTGGCTTTCTTCACTTCTGTTCTTGAGGTTCATCCACATTCCATCTAGTATCCATCCATGTATCAGTACTTCATTCCTTTTTATGGCTAAATAATATTCCATTGTGTGGATATACCACATTTTGTTAATCCATCCAAAAAAAATTTTTTTTTCAGACTGAGTCTCACTCTATTGCCCAGGCTGGAGTGCAGTGGGGCGATCTCCACTCACTGCAACCTCCACCTCCCAGATTCAAGCCATTCTTGTGCCTCAGCCTCCCAAGTAGCTGGAATTACAGGCGCCCTCCACCACACCTGGCTAATTTTTGTATTTTTAGTAGAGACGGGGTTTCACCATGTTGGCCAGGCTGGTCTCAAACTCCTGACCTCAAGTGATCCACCCGTCTTGGCCTCCCAAAGTGCTGGGATTACAGGCATGAGCCACCGCGCCCGGCCAATCCATCCAGATATTAGTGGACATTTTCATCTTTTGGCAATTGTGAATAATACTGCTATGAACATTCTTGGACAGGTTTTTGTTTCAACACATGCTATCAATTCTCTAGGATATATTCCTAGGAGTAGAATTGCTGGATTATATGGTAATTCTGTGTTTAACTTTTTGAGGAACCACCATACTGTGGTTTGTACTATTTTACATTCCCACCAGATTGCTTAGTTTTGAATCCAGCCCTGCCACTTACTTGTTAGCTGTGTGAGCATAGGTAAGTTACTTATGGTCTTTGTGCCTCAGTTTCCTCATCTGTATAATGGGTCAGTAATGCTGTTTACTCAATGGGGTTATGATACTTAAAAGAGGTGGTGTATGTGAATGCCTCAGAACAGTAACGGGTGTACAAAACTGGTGCATAAATGTTTGCTGCTGCTGCGCTGTTACTGAGAGACAGTGTAGGTCATGGCAGATGGAAGACTGAAAAGGGTTTGGGCTAAAAGAGGCTGCATTGGGTGATATAAAAGAACCAGCAGAACTAGAATCCAGACACTTGGAGTTGGTTGCTGAGGGCATCTTTCACTTGAGGAATCAATTTTCTTATCTGTTCACTGATGAGCTCCAAGAACCTTCAGCTCCATGTGCCTGTGGCTTTCCTCGGGAGACCACTCTTCAAGAATGAGGGACCAGGGTCCTCCACTCCTGACCACTTGCCAGCTCCATTCTTTCAGCTCTCCAACATGAAAAAGGAAGACAGGAGTATGTCCTGTCATCTGAAAGCTACACACAGAAGTTTCTAGAAAATGAAGCCTTCTCTGTCATCATTCATGTTAGGAAAAGGCAAACCTGGTTGACTTTCACTTGATTCTATTGAATTCAACAGAATCACCAAACAAACATTCTGCTAAATAGTATTTCTCTCATATCTATATATTATGAGTATTTATCTCATAATCCATGTATTTATGAATCATTTACACCTAATTCATCAAAATGCTCTGTATAAGTTGTTTGAATCCCAAGAATCCTTATAGAGGCCTTTTTCTGAGCACATAGAAATAGGAAAACAGATTTTTCCCCATCCATCTTCAATTGGCAATAACTTTTAGAGGTGCCATATTACCAGCTCTTCTGCTAGGAGGGACCAGAGTGAAACAGTGAAAAAACACAATGTGATAATAATTGCCACAATGATACTTTCACCTCACACCCAATTAGCACTTTATAATTTGCAGAGTCCTGTCAATTTCTAAACAGGCCCTGATTTCTCCATATCTTCTCCAATACTTGTTATTTTCCTTTTGTTTTTAAAATGAGCATCCTAATGGGCCTGAAGTGGTATCTCATGGTGGTTTTGATTTGCATTTCCCTGATGGCTGAAGTTGAACATTTTTTCATGTGCTTGTTGGCCATTTGTTTATCTTTGCAGAAATGTCTATTCAGATCTTTGGTACATTTGTTTTACTATGTTGTTGGCTATTTTATCGTTGAGTTGTAAGAGTTCTTTGTATATTCTAGATACAAATCCCTTATCAGGTATATGACTTGCAAATATCTTCTCCCATTCTGTGTGTTCCTTTTTGACTTTCTTGATTGTATGCCTTGAATTAAAAAAAATGCCTAATTTTGATGAATTCCAAGTTTATCATTTTTTTTAATTTTTTCACCTGTGCTTTTGGTGTCATCTAAGGAGGTTTTGCCTATGCGGTCATGAATATTTACTCATCTGTTTTCTTCTAAGAGTGATAATAGTTTCAGCTCTTATATTGAGATATATGATATATTTTGAGTTAGTTTGTGTGTGTGTGGTGTGAGGTAGGGATTCAGCTTCATTCTTTTGCATGTGGATATCCAGTTGTCTCAGTATCAATTGTTGAAAAGACATTTCCCCCTTGGATAGTCTTGGTGCTCTTGTCAAAAACCAAATAACTGTAAATGGAGCAATTGTAGTTTGAATGGAATGGGTCAGCACTTGGTGGCAGCAGGGGTCTTGGCTATGTAGTTTCATAAGCTCCCACTCCTGGAGAGCCTCTGTTTTCCTCTCAAAGCCAGGTTTTTCTGTCTCGCTGCGTTTTGGTGCCTGAAAGGCTTGGGTGGGCATGGTACCTGGAGTACTGTTGTTCGGAGCACAAAGTGAGGAGAAAAGACCACTCTACTTTGTGGGAGGTCCTTGGGGCAGTTTGGGCAGCAGTGCCTCCCCCAGGAGTCAGGGTCCCCACCCCAGAGGAATGTCCACAGAGCAGAGCCATTGGCCTGAGCTGGACTGAAAAAGAAAGAGCCAGGTGGGGAGAGGATTTGATTTCTCCCTTGGTCTAAAGCAGGCAGCTGACATTGGGTGAGGGAATGGGGCAGGCCTCCATGTGCTATCGGGAATCCCCAGGAGGTCCCTACAGAAAACTTCCACCCCCAGCCCAGCTTGTTTATCACAGCCCTTCAGTGGTAACTTCCTCCTGTGGCTTGATCCAAACGGGGGCTGCATATGTGGCCAAAATGCACATAACCCTGTGAGGCACAGCATAGCAGCTTATCTTCCCTGAAAGTGGAAGGACAAAAGCAGGACAAAGATGACCAAGCCAGGGTGGGAGAGAGGGGAGGAGACACTGGAAGGGGAGGTGAAGGGGCAGACTAGGGAGGCCAGGACCAAGGCAGACTCTCATGCACCAGGCATATTCTGCCCAGCCAAGGGCTCTGGCATTCAGATGAGGGAGAGGGAGAGGAAAGAGGAGAGAATCCAGTGAGACCAATCCATGAAGTGTCGGGAGGACCCTGGAAGCAAAGGCTCTGGACTCAGGTGGCATCAATGGGACTACCAGTTTCCAGTGAATATGTGGGAGTGGCCTAGGTCCAGCTCAATCAGAAGCCCATTTGTTCAAGGCCCTGGTATTACTGAAGGCCCAGCCCTGTCTCACCTGCCAGAAAGCACGTGGCCTCTCCCTGGCTAGGCTAAGGGCTGGTTGACGGCATCATAAAAGGAATCTGCCTGGGAGCCCTCAATTTGTTTCAGTTTCCTCCCCCAAGGCCAAGAAGGGATTGGGTTGCCTCTGTTGTTGTTGCTGCTGCTGCTGCTGCTGCTGCTGCTGGGGGTTGGAAAAGAGGAATTTGTGTGACCAGATCCCCTTATTGTATAGAAGAAGAGAAATGTGAGCATTCAGAGATGGTGAGATGTCAGACACCCAGCCACACAGCCAGTGAGAGACATGTTGGGGACAGGGCCAGGCCTGCCAGTTCATGGCCCAGGGGTCTTTCTCATGAGATCAACTGACCAGTGTGTCTTAGCACCTGCCATGCAAATAGAAGGCCCTACTGCTGTCATCTCCACGTATTCCAGAATTACTCAGCTGTTCTATGCAAGCCAAGTCAACACCAATGTCATAAAGGAGAGACTAAAGTAATTCTCTACACAGCACATACACGGCATATATGGCCTGTATGCTTCCTGGACAGCCAACAGGGGTGCCGAGGGAGTGAGTCCCTCAGCCTTGCCTGGAGCCTTGCTGATACTTCAGTTTGCCTCACAAACACGGTTACCTTCCATGACATGAAGGAGGCACACGCGGGTTGACCCCTGACCCTGTCTGCTTGTTAGAATCACGTCGGGAACCGGGGACAGGCTTAGAAGCCCAGGTCCCACCTCCCACCTGCTGAATCCAAATCTCCAGAGCGTGGCCTGGGAAATCAAATTTGTCAGCTTCCTTCCCAGGGGACTTTGATACATCCACCCCAGTGGAAACCAGCAGCCTCCTTTAGTCAAGCGAATGTTTCCCTGACTGTCACCTTCTCCCCCTGTATAAGATGCAGATTGTTAGCGGTAAATGGTACCTGGATTCCAACCTCAGTTCTCCACTGCAGTTGGGGAGATCTGGCCAGGGCAAGCCACACTGCTCCTTCAGGCACAGCCTTGTTCATCCCGCACTCACCTGTGTTCTCTTCCTCTCTGTAGGACGCACAAGACCAGCCACTGCTACCGCATCACGTACCGCCACATGGAACGGACTCTGTCCCAGAGAGAGGTCAGGCACATCCACCAGGCCTTGCAGGAGGCTGCAGTCCAGCTGTTGGGTGTGGAGGGCAGGTTCTGATGTCACCACTTCACTCAGGCTGCAGCCCTCTTGGGGCTCCAGGATTTGCTGAAAGAGAAAAAGATATGGTTTGTGAACTGGGGCATCAATCATCTTTTGATAAATGGATCAGTTTTAGGACTTTCAGAAAATAAAAGATCGCTCTTGAAAAGCTGTTGACATAGCATTTGTCTTTTATTTGGGGAAAGGAGGAAGGTCTTTTCCTATTCCTTTTAGAAGTGCTTTGCCCACTGGCATTGGTGCTTAGTATGGTTAATTGGTCCCTGGGTTCCATTAAGCACCAGGCATGATTTCTTGCCTGACAGGCTCTTCCACTCAGGTAATGAGTGAAGCCACACAGAGGGACATCAGAAATTCCAGATACAATACAGGAAGCTTTTTGAATCAGCTTCCATTCCTTCCTCCCTTCTCTTCTTTTTCAGTTTTGCAAAGGGCAGGCTTCAAAGAGGGCACTAATGAAATGCCAGGGCTCTCGTCCAATGTGAAGGGAGGTGCGTCTTTCAGCCAGGGCAGGATATCTATTTGCTTTTCATAAACCCATGGCTTGGAGTCAGGCCTCTGGCCCCAGGACTTGGGCTTAGCTGCCTTCTGCCCCACTGGAGAGGAAGGAAAGGGGCGAGAGCTGCCCCAGAGTCTTGGAGGCACACAGAGGGGCCAGGTCCTCAAACTCCCTTCAAGTTTTCCCAGCAGGCAGCCTCCACTTCCAGAAGGCGACCTTTAGGGAAGAATATGGGGCTTTGATGTTCCCCCCTTTCCATCCCAGGCACTTTGTAGTCTGCCTGCCTCATTCATGACCAGTTTTAATAATCAGCTTCCATCCCTGGCATGATGCTAGAGGCTGATGGAGGGCTGCAAGTGCTGGGATAAATATTTGATGAGGAGTGGCCAGTATCAGCTAGCGGCGTGGGGGTGGGCAGCTGCTTTCCTAAGGGAAGGAACAGCTTTAATGTCATCTTACCATGTGATTAATTAGGACTCTTCCCTTGGATTTTTAAGGGAATTAAGGAAGCCATACCCCAAGTCCCACACCCAATCCTAGAACCAAACCGCTTTCTGGGGTCTTAGGGCCCACGGGTACAATTCCCCAAGTGGATGGATCTGAGTGGGAAGGCACAATGTGATCACTGATTTCCTCTTCAGTAGCATTTGCCAGCAGGCCATTTCTGATTCAGCCTTGGGCTGCACTTCAAGATGTCCCTTTATCCCCCTGACTGGTTAGGCACTTATTAATGTTCTTTAAGAAAGCCAGCAAGGTGTATAAAATGCAAAACCATGATGCTGTCCTGTGGCCCAGAATCTGAGCAATATTTGTCAAATACAGTCACGCGTCACTTAAGGACAGCGAAACATTCTGAGAAATGCATCATAGGGGATTTTGTCATTGTGTAAACACCATGGAGTGTACTCATACAAACCTAAACAGTATAGCATACTACACCCCTAGGCTACACGGCGTAGCCTATTGCTAGAGGCTGCAGGCGAGAGGCTACAGACCTGCACAGCATGTGGTATGGTTTGAATCCGTGTCCCCACCCAAATCTCATGATTAAATGTAAGCCCCAGTGTTGGACGAGGGGCCTAGTGGGAGGTGATTAGATCATGGAGATCAGCTTCTCATGCATGGTTTAGCACCATACGCTCAGTGCTGTTCCATGATAGTGAGTTCTCATGAGATCAGGTTGCTTAAAAATGTATAGTCCCTCCCTCCCCGCCACCCTCTTGGTCCTGCTCCTGCCATGTGAGACGCCTGCCTCCGCTTTGCCTTCCGCCATGAGGAAAGGCTCCCTGAGGCCTCCCCAGAAGCAGAAGCTGCCGTGCTTCCTGTACAGCCTGCGGAACTGTGAGCCAGTTAAACCTCTTTTCTCTATAAATTGCCCAGTCTCATGTATTTCTTTATAGCAATGCAAGAACAGAGTAACACAGCATGTCACTGTGCTGAATACTATAGGCACTTGTAGCAAATGTTATTTGTGTCTCTAAACTGAAAAGTTATAGCAAAAATACTGTATTATCACTGTCCCCTATGCCATCTGTTGTTGACTGAAACATTGTTATGTGACGCTGTATTTGTGCCAAACCCTATATTAAGGTCCTGGGGTAGGGCTGACTTTCCAAAGGGTTCACAGAGGCCTTTCTTGAACATTCCCCTCAACACTCCATGAGGTGTAATTGACTGTTACTTAAATCTTACAAGTGAGGGAACAGAGGACTGAAGAAGTCACAGGAGTTGGCCATGACTTAAGCTATGACTTCTTCAGGCCTCTGTTCCCTTGTCTGTGACTCAAGATACATACACAGGAGGTGGCAGGCCTCACACTCAAGTCCACGGCCTCCACATTAAGAATGTCTGTCTGCAGCCTGGGCAACATAGTGAGACCCTACCTTTACAAAAAATTTTAAAAACCAGCTGGACATGGTGGCATGCCCCTGTAGTCCCAGCTACTTGGGAGGCCAATGTGGGAGGATTGATTGAGCCCAGGAGGCTGCAGTGAGCCATGATCGTGCCACTGCACTCCAGCCTGAGCAACAAAGCAAGACCCTGTCTAAAAAAAAAAAAAAAAAAAAAAAAATGTGTAAACAGTAGTGGGTTGACTGTAAGGTCTGTGCCTCTCTCCTGCTCCCTAGACCTTCGTTCTGTTTCTACGAGGGCTTGTGCAGAACCCCCTCAGGGTCCACTCTGACCGACCAGCACTTGTGCCAAAAGTGAGCCTTCCCTACCACCAAAGAGCCAAGGGGACATCCAGCTCTTGACTTTTTCATGTGACTTCTACAGGAGAATAAATAATGAACGAGGAAAAGAAAGGTAAATTAATCCATTAGATGAAGTCACTTTGCAGTTCAAGAAACACATGATTCCCAAAGGAAGGACAGCCTGGTGACCAATACCAGCACTATGGCTATGACCCTCCAGGAGGCCCAGTTTCCTCCTTTGTCAAATGGGGATGATAATATCGCCCACTGCAGAGGCTGTGGTGAGGGCTGTGTAAGACATCGCATACTGCACTTGCCGCAGAACCCAGCACCTGATAAGCCATCAAGAAGGGTCACTGCTCTGATCATTATTCAGGGAGAAAACAATGGAAGTGTGAACCATCCAAACTGGAACAGATCCCACAGGGCATCCACATGTCCCCCCGGTCTATACCCGAGGACACTGAAGTACAAAGAGACAAGTGACTTACCCAAGGGCACAGTAACAGTGAAGTATTGTAGAGCTGGGCCTCAAACTGGGGTTCCCAGAGCATTTTTCCAAACACCACATTGAAGCAGAGATCCTGAGGTGTCTTTAGGTGGAAGGCCACCACGGGGGTCAGGACAGGTCGGGCCAGGGCTGCAGCACCTCGGGAAATGCTGGAGAGGCCTTCCTAAAGGGCCCTTGGGCTTGACTCTTACAATTCCATGGTCTTTTGGAGAAGTTTCCCTGCAGCCCTGTTGTCTGGTGCTTTGAGACATGTTGATGTGAGAAGACAACCTTACGTAGAGAGTTTCCCTCCTTGTAAGGATGGTCTAGAAGCCCATATCCTGGAGCTGTGGATCAAGGATCCTTCTAGCACATGTGTTACCTGTCCCTATGATAGGCCTCTACAGACGCCAGCAAGACTGGGGCCAGCAGGCATTAGCAATTGGGAATGTCGTGGGAATAAATTATGTGACCATCTGGAGCCTCGGGTGGAGCAGAGGGCCTTGCGGGCTCAACAGCCATTTGTGTCTTTGTCCCCTCCCCAGGTTGCTCTGCTCCTGGCTTTGCCCAGGTCCTGAACAAGTCAGCAAAGCTGAACAGGGTCTTGATGCTCCCAGCGGTGGCTGGTGGTCAGGCAGCCAAGAAATGGGAAAGGAAGCCCCTCAACACTGGAAGTTCAATTTTTTTCCTATCTAGGAAACAACAAGTGAGTGAACTCTGTGTGGTGGCCTCCGAATGCCCCCCCAGCCGGCCCTGCTTACCAGACTCCCCACTAGGCACATGTGTGTCTTTGGTTCTCACGCCAGGAGCTCTCCATGCTACCCACTGGCCATGATGACTTGAGGAGCACTTAGCAGCTCCTGGCCTGGGCTGTCTGCGCTCTTCCAATCTGCAGGAAGGTGGGGCACTGCCATCACTAGTAACAGGGATGTGGGGGGCGGTGGCAGCTGACGTTTGTAGTGTGCAGGTGCAGCACCCCGCAGTCTCAGTCCCATAGAGAGTGGAGCTGCTGTCTTATGTGGGAGAGATAGAGCCATGAGCAGGGCAGACAAGGCCCAGCCCTCGTGGAGTCCACGCTCATGGTCTCATTCCACCGCCTCCAGCAGGCCCCATGCTTCCCATTCTCCAAGTGAAAGGTTAACGTGTTCCAGGAGCCATTGCAAAGTCAAAACTTAAGGCCTCCTCACATCCAAGTCTGTGCTCGTCACCTTGCCCCCGACTCCCCCTGCGCACTTGCCCAGGCACACCTATGGCCGGAGCTAGGAATTCACTCTGGACCAGGGCAAAGGCAGGTGGGCCACCACCATGGTGGTGACATCCACTGCATGGAGCTTCAACTTTCAAGGCAACAGTGGTAGCCACAAACAAACCATGGGACCCTTTCATAAGGTGCTTGGTCATGGAACGTGGGCCCTTGGGATCAGCTATGGGCTCTAGGTCAAAACGGTTAGAAGCCCCACTTTATCCTCAGATGCTCAAAGTTGTCAATAGCTTTACACTTGCAACCGCAGTGGCTTCAGGATGCCAAATCAGATGTCCTGAGGAATAGAGGAAACTCTGAACTGAGCAATCTTAGGATCCTTCAAGGATGATGGTGTCCCCAGGAGGGTGTATCCTAGCGCCCAGGAAGTGGGCCAGCGAGAGGGAGGGAATGTGCTTATTCCTGATCTCAGCAATCACTCCAAAGTATGCTGACTCTGAGTTTTCTAAGTGGCTTCTGTACCCAAAAATGCATCATTGCTTAGAAAGTCAAAAAAGCAAACAAACGAACGAACAAAAAAACACAGCCAGTGCCCTATTCAAAGGCGGGGGCCACAGGTGATGCCAGCAATGTGGATGAGACCATCCTGCCCTGGTTCTTTCTCTAGCCCATTTCCAAGCTCATGGGCTTTGCTCAGGAGGAGAGTGGAGCAGGAACGCTCCTCGGAGCCCTGGACCAAGCCCAAGACCACGCTGGGGGTCTAAACCCAGCTCTGCCATAGATGAGTCATTAACATCCCTGAGCCTGCATTTCCTCAACCCTAAAACGGAGGTTATAATCTCTGGCCCTAGTATGAATGGCTCAGCAAGGAGTAGGGAAATCGTGTGTGTAAAACTTGATGCATCTCATTTTAGGCTCACAAAAACTCCACAAAAGGTAGCCAGCATATGTCTACTTGGGAATTGAGAACATGAGGCCCGAGGACCAGGCCTGAGTCCTCAGTGGGTTTTCAAGATAGAATTTAAGGCCCCTTCTCCATGAGACTAAAGGCCACAGCCTTCCTTCTGTGCCATATGTCTGCCAAGCATGGAAAACAGATGGGAACGCGATGAATACGAGCAGTGCATTGCCCTCCACGGCCTTCCCTCCCCAAGTGAAGTGTGTCTTTGTCTATTCTGGATCTAAGCCTTAGGAAGGACATAGCACGCTCTCACATGCAAAACAACAGAGAGAATGTTGAGTTCAACATGAGAAATCAAGGTGGGCTCTTGGAACTGGTTACACAAGGTTGCATCTGAAAAGGAAATCAGTGTGTTACGCTTTCCAGAGCAACACTTCCCGGCCCGTGGTTCCTGCAGCACCCTCAGCTGTTAGAAGCTCACATGCAGGACACAGGTGCATCCACGGCTGTTTGCAGAGTACAACTTGCCCCTGCTCTCCCTATCAAAAAAGGACGTCACAATGCACACGTATGAGCTTGACATTAGTATAAAGGAAACTTTGACATCTATTTTTAAACAGCTGCTAATGTATCAAGAGTGAATCATTTGATGCCATCTATACTTTATTATTAAGAAATAACTAGGATGCCAAAGCAGTCCTATAGAGAAAGGAAGGCATTTTCAACAAATGGTGGTGGAGCAACGGGTTATTCATATAAGGAAAGAAAGAAAAATCTCGACACCCTACTTCACACAAAATTAATTCGAGTTGGCACACAGACCTAAATACAAAAGCCAAAAACTTACTACCTAATAGCTTAACGAAAAAGACATATGGGACCATCTTTTTGACCTTGGATAGGCAAAGATATTTTAGAAAGGACACAGAAAACATTAGTAAAGAAAAAGATGATACACTGAACTTTTTCAATATTTAAAACTTCTGCTTTTTGAAATATGTTATTGAGAAAATGAACAGGGAAACCACAGATTGGGAAAAAATATTTGTAACACATATATTTGACTTATATCCGGAATATACAAAGAATTCCCACAACTTGATAATAATGTTTTTTAAAACCATTTTGAAAAAATGGGCAGACTTGAAAAAATACTTCACAAAAAGATTATAGATGACCAGTAAGATGAAAAGATACTCAACATTATTTGTGAGCAGGGAAATGCATTTATGAAGTTACAGAAGAGATAAACCTAATCTCCAGTGACAGAAACAGATCAGAGGTCGTCTGGGGCTGGAAAGGGATTTACTGTAAAGGGGAACGAGGGAAATTTTCAGGTGATGGGAAATGTTCTCTATCTTTTTTTTTTTTTTTTTTTTTTTTTTTGGTGAGGCTGCCCAGATTCCCAAATAGCAATTCTCTCTATCTCTCTCTCTCTCTCTCTCTCTCTCTCTCTCTCTCTCTCTCTTTTTTTTTTTTTTTCCTCTAAGAAACAGGGTCTTACTATGTTGCTCAGGCTGGTCTCAAACTCCTGGCTTCCAGCAATTCTCCCTCAGCCTCCCAAAGTGTTAGGATTACAGGCATGAGCTACCACACCTGACCAGAAATGTTCTTGTCTTCATAGGAGCGTGGGTTACACAGATGAATGCATTTGTCCAAACTCATCAAACTCTAGACTTTAAGATCTATGCCTTTCACCATATGCAAATTATACCACAATAGAAGAAGAAAATGACTTGCCACATCTCACAACCAAATGAGCAGCGCAGCTCCTAAGTGGAGATGGCAGCTCAGGGCCGAGGGAGCAAATTTTCCAGAAGAGATGGACAGAGAAGTGGGTCTGAAAGGGCTCTGGGGACAGGGTCAGCCTTGAGTTGACGGAACACCTGGGGCATGGAGCTCTCTCCAGGCGAGTGACAGCTACATGGATGAAGCTGAAGGGTGGAGCTGGAGGTGTCTAGGGTGCAAGCCAGGCCTGCAAAGGTCAAAGGGAGAGAAACAATGAGGCCATGTGGCCCCAACTGTTGGTGGTTTCCTCGGAGCGTCAGAGGCTGCTGACATTGCCCAGCTGGGCAGCATCCTGGGAACAGAGAGGGTGGACTCAACAGCACAGAGAGGCAAGGGAAAGGGTGAGACCCCAGTGCTGAGGGTCGAGCCTCTGGTTTATCCACACTGCTTCTTCCCAAAGTCCCTTGAGCTAGAGCAGCGGGATGGGCATGAGTACTTCCTGAGTCTGTCTCCCACCCAGTGACCACACAGCAAAGCCAGGGCAGCTGCGCATGGCTTCCTGGTAGAAAGCCCCTCTCCCACCCATGGAAGTCAGACTCCATGAGCCTCTCCCCACTGCTCTCAGGCCGCCAGCCCCACCGTCTGCCTTGTTCCACTCAGATGGGGTGAGACCAGCACCCGCCCTTGAACCAGGGCCTGACTCCACCCCACATGCCCCTCATCCCCTGGGTAACACATCTAACCTGCCACCTGGGAGGAACCGGAAGCCCTGCTGAAGGTTAGATGCCTCGGGCATCAGGCATGAACTGTGGCTCTGCCACTGACCAGCTGGGAGAACTTGAGCAGTTCCCAGAGCTCTGTGACTTGGTTTCCCCACTTGGAAAATGAGGGTACTAATCATACTCATGGGATTGTAGTGAGGCTAAAATGAGCTAAGGCATTAAATAAATTATATAAAATAAGCTCCTAGTTTCTAACAGTACAATGTTACAAGTGAATTAGCATTTTTCTTTTTTTTCTTTTTTTTTCTTTTTTATTATGCTTTAAGTTCTAGGGTACATGTGCACAACTTGCAGGTTTGTTACATAGGTATACGTGTGCCGTGTTGGTTTGCTGCACCCATTAACTCGTCATTTACATTAGGTATTTCTCCTAATGCTATCTGTCCCCCAGCCCCCCACCCCACGACAGGCCCCGGTATGTGATATTCCCCACTCTATGTCCAAGTGTTCTTATTGTTCAATTCCCACCTATGAGTGAGAACATGCGGTGTTTGGTTTTCTGTCCTTGCGATAGTTTGCTCAGAATGATGGTTTCCAGCTTCATCCATGTCGCTTCAAAGGACATGAACTCATCCTTTTTTTATGGCTGCATAGTATTCCATAGTGTGTATATGTGCCACATTTTCTTAATCCAGTCTATCACTGATGGACATTTGGGTTGGTTCCAAGTCTTTGCTATTGTGAATAGTGCCACAATAAACATACATGTGCATGTGTCTTTATAGTAGCTTGATTTGTAATCCTTTGGGTATATACCCAGTAATGAGATCACTGGATCAAATGGTATTTCTAGTTCTAGATCCTTGAGGAATTGCCACACTGACTTCCACAATGGTTGAACTAGTTTACAGTCCCACCAACAGTGTAAAAGCATTCCTGTTTCTCCACATCCTCTCCAGCACCTGTTGTTTCCTGACTTTTTAATGATCGCCATTCTAACTGGTGTGAGATGGTATCTCACTGTGGTTTTGATGTGCATTTCTCTGATGGCCAGTGATGATGAGCATTTTTTCATGTGTCTGTTGGCCGCATAGATGTCTTCTTTTGAAAAGTGTCTGTTCATATTCGTTGCCTACTTTTTGATGGGGTTGTTTGATTTTTTCTTGTAAATTTGTTTAAGTTCTTTGTAGATTCTGGATATTAGCCGTTTGTCAGATGGGTAGATTGCAAACATTTTCTCCCATTCTGTAGGTTGCCTGTTCACTCTGATGGTAGTTTCTTTTGCTGTGCAGAAGCTCTTTAGTTTAACTAGATCCCATTTGTCTATTTTGGCTTTTGTTGCCATTGCTTTTGGTGTTTTAGCCATGAAGTCCTTACCCATGCCTATGTCCTGAATGGTAATGCCTAGGTTTTCTTCTAGGGTTTTTATGGTTTTAGGTCTAACATGTAAGTCTTTAATCCATAAGTATCCCGGAATTAGACAGTGGTGATGGTTGCCCAACTCTGTGAATCTACTAAATGCCACTGAATCATACACTTTAGAAAGGGGTGAATATTATGGTAGATGAATTATACGTAATAAAAAGTTATTTTAAAAAGTTAAGCATGTATTTACCATATGACCCAGAAAAATCCCATTTCTAAAGTATTTCCCAAGAGAAATAAAAGCATGGGAGTTGATTGAATTGGGACAAAGGTGGAAGCAGGCGGAAGTGGTGGGCCTCCCCTGAGGCCCTCCTGGCAGCTCGGCCTGTCCTCCACTCTTTGCTAGGGATTTGGCTACGGGTAATTCAGATGGCAGCTCCCAGCCTGGGGCCTTGGAGCAGGTTTGACTATGCACTTGTAATAGGGATGCCGTTTTCTGTTGACTGTTAAACTGGAGCATTCTGCTTGCTTCCTTTCTTCTAGCACTTGAACCTTGCAGCCCTCCACCTCTCCTCTGGGGCAGGAGGGGCCTGACTCCTTGGGAAGGCTTTGTGGTCTAGCTCCTTCTCCCTATTTAAGTTTGGTTCACTGACCAGCGGCCTGAGCATCACTTGGGCGCTTAATAGAAACGCAGAGTCTTTGGCCCCCCCTCCTCCGCCAGACCAGCTGAGTCTGAATCTGCCTTTAACAAGGCCCCAGGCAACCCACGCGCTCAGGGGAGCTGGAGCAGTGTGTTCTTTTCAGAGCATGCAAGTTGAGCTGCTCACCATTAAGGCTTAACCAGTAGACTACACAAGGAATGAGGAAGGAAATTTCACCCTCATATCCTTGAGAGCCCCGGTTATGGGTTGAATTGTGTGTCTCCCAAAAGACAAAGGTTGAAGTCCTGACCCCTAGCACCTCAGAGTGTGACTGTGTTTGGAGGTAGGGTCTTTGCAGATGTCATTAGTGAAGGTGAGGTCATACTGGAGTAGGCTGGGCCCTGATCCAATGTGACTGGTGTCCTCATTAGAAGATGATCACATGAAGACAGAGACACCCGGAGAACGCCATGTGACAGCAGAGGCAGAGATTGGAGTGGAGCATCTATAAGCCCAGGAACGTAAATATTGCCTGCAAACTCCCAGAAGCTGGAAGAAACAAGGAAGGCTCCTGCCCTACAGGTTTCAGAGGGAAACGTGGTCCCGCTGACACCTTGATTTCAGACTTCGGGCCTCCAGAACTGTGAGACCAGACATTGCTATGGTTTTAAGCCACATGGCTCGAGGTGCTTTGTTATGGCAGCTCTAGGAATCTAATACAGTGCCCAAGACAGAGGGACCATGCTGTCCTCCCAGATGACTCCCCCTGTGCCTACCTGTGACAGTGACCATAGCTAGTAAACCAGGGGCTCACAATGTCTTTAGGCTGAAGGGGGCCTTCAAGTTGAGTGTCCCCAGGACATGCTTAGCCTTCATGTGACCCGGATGCCCCCGAGTGTTCTGGCAGCCCTGGAGAGGCACACTGTCGGGCAGCTGAGCCGAGAGCCTGTGAGCTGGCCTATAATCCACGGCTGAGACTCAGAGGGGTGTCCCAGCCTGCCGGCTCCCCATTCAGGCCAAGTCAGCTGAGGAGGGCCTGTCCACGCGCAGAGGGTCCAGACCACATGCTCTGCCAGCCCATGACCTCGGCACTGGAGGGCACAAGAGACAGAAGGGCAGTGACAGCTGGGACGAGAGGAAGAGCGGATCTCAGATGCTCCCAGGCTCTCGGCGCTCGCGGGTAGGAAGGTCTTCTGGATTCCCTAAGAATGTGCTACTCAGTGGGGGGGAGGAGGAGCAAGGAAGTGGCCACCGTTGGCTGCCTGTGCCCAGCAGGTCCACATTCCCTGCTCTGATGAGGTGGCTGCATGTGAGGGGATTTCACGGTGCCCCTTAGCCAGTCACAGGTCATTGGGACCCAGGCAAAGGAAATCCTGAGGGTCCAAGGGAAGCCTGGATAAGAGAAACATCTTCAATGCCTTCCTCTCTCATTTCCCCACCCTGCAAAGCACTGGCATTGGGCAGTGCAAGGGAACTTCCTCCTTCCCTCTCTCCCTTCCTTCCTCTTTTCTTTCCTCTCACTCCTTTCCTCCCCCACTCCCTCCCCTGTGCACCTGTCTCCTGCCCAGCACACCTGGAGAAGGCTGCTCTGGGATTAATTCAGACTTAGATGATGGGAGTGAAGCCGCACCCCCGTCAGAGGGAAGCACTTTGGACCCAGCCACCTGTTTCCCCCGTTTGATGAGGGAAACCATGCCTGGCAAAGCACCGCTCCCCAGCCAGGGCAGCAGGCCAACCTGCTGTCACTGCGCCTTAATCACCCCCACGCCCAGGCGGCACCGTCGGCAGGGCCTTTTAATAGCAATAGCACAGGGACAACCAGCTCACAGAGCTTCTCTGTCCCCTACAGACAGGCACCACAGAACCCTGGGAGACAGAAAGCTAAACAAGCCCAGCCTCCCTGCCTCACGCCTCGGGGCTGACTGGCTCTGACGTGGTTCGGCTGTGCTGTTCCAGCCTGGGACGGAGCACCCCGCTGCTTGGCCTTTTCCGTGCCTGCATCCCCAGCAGGCTCTAACTGGGATTTGCTGGGGACTCACTCCAGGCCAGGAGAGGGCCTGTGAGCTCTGGCAGTTTGTGCCGTGTGTGGGCAACAGATCTGAGAAACGCTGTTTAATAGGGTTGCCTCAAGCACATTTTCAAGATGAACACAGGAAGACTAGCAAAGTGGTGAATAGTTTGGACTTTGGAGTCAGGCGGTTCAAGTTCAAATCCAGTGTCCTTGAGCACCCGCTAAGCTCCCTGAGCCACACCTAAGAGTTAAATGGCACAGTGTGTGCAAAAGCTGCTAAAATCAGGCCGAGAAGTCGACAATGAAGGGAAGACGGAAGGGATTGTGAGGTCTGGGAAGTGTCTGGAAAAACGTCGCATCGCAGAAGGCCTGTGGTGTTAGGATATGCGTTTTGGTTTTTGTCCAGGTTCCTGGCTCCCAGCACCCACATTCCTTGTTAGAATGCTGGGGCGCCTTAGGACTCAGGAAACAGAATCTCTCTCTGACCTTCTGCTGTTTTTCTTTCACTTGCCCACGGCGGGATGCTAATCTGTTTGTGGATCAAAAAACCCTCACTCCACAGAAAGTCCTGCCCCATACCCTAGAGGAAGGAATGCTGCTTAGAGAAGCCAAGAAAAGTCCGAGCAGGCCGGCCTTGCTGGGTTTAAGTCACACGCTTTCTGTCCGGTCACACTTCCGCGTGGTTGTCAAGCATGCCCGTGCATCGGAGCCTCCATAAAAACCCACGAGGACAGGGTCCGGGAGCTTGCGGATACCTGAACCCGTGGAGGCTCCTGGAGGGTGGCACGCCCAGGATGGGCACCGAAGCTCCAGGCACCTTCCCCCATATCTCGTCCTGTGCTTCTCTTTATCTGTACCCTTTGTGACATTCTTTCATATAAACTGGTAAACGTGTTTCCCTGAGTTCTGTGAGTCGCTCCAGCAAATTAATCAAACACAAAGTGGGAGTTGTAGGAACCCCAACTTGAAGCCAATGGGTCAGAAGCTCTGGAGGCCTGGCCCTGCGACTGGTGTCTGAGGGCTGAGGGGTACTCTTGGGACACTTGAGCCCTCCCCCTCTGGCATCTGACGCTATGTATCTCTGGGTAGATATTAAATAGGCCCATTAAACAGTAAATCTCAGGTCTGATGCCCACACAGGGCATGAGCTTCAAGAGTTCACAAACCATTGTCTTTGACTGATGAATGCCTGTTTGTGGGTTCATCAGTCAATTCACGACTTGCAAGACTGCCCTCCAGAGCTGACACTTCACGGAGCTGTTTACTCACTGCTGGGTAACATTCCTTTGAACGTTCTTAGGCTCTTTACAAATGTTAATTTATTTATGTCCATAGCTCATGGTTAGGTAGACGGTAAATGTTCTTTCAGGTGATGAGCGTATTCAGCACCCAGAGAGGTGGAGGGGTGGGTTCAAAATCACACAGAAGCCCACTGGGGCTGACTGTATTTGTCATGAGGACCAGTATGTATCACCAGGAGTTAAAATGTCACTTTGTCACTCTTTCAAGCTAAATGTCAAGAAAGCAATTAGGGATGACCCAAAGGCTTGGAGGCCGGGAACAGCCTAGCCATCCGGGAGGCCGCATGTGGCTCCCTGTGGCTGGTGCAGGCTTTAGGAAGGATGGTGAGAGGTGTGCTGGGAGGGCAGGTGTCACGGCTGCTTCGTGACACCTTACCTTACTTGCTTAGCTTACACCAAGTAAGGTGTGAGGTGACCACACCACGTTAGCAAAGACAAAACAAAGATATCGGGGTTCTGTGATGCCAGCCAGGGAAACAGGTGGTGAATGCTCAGGAGCCCAGCCTGAGGCTGAGAGCCCAGCTGGGGACGCTGTGGGAGACAGCCTGGGGACAGAGAGGTATTGATCCAGAGGACAGACCTCCAGGGATAGAAAGGGCCTGACAATGGCCTGCTGGGACGTGGGTGAGGGAAGAGGTGAGGGGTGAAGGAAAGTGGTCATCTGCAAGCCAGAGGATACAGCAGGAGAAGGGGTCTGGAGAGAGAGACTGGGGTGCGCGCAGGACCTCCCATCTCTGGTCACTGCTGTGTCCTGCAGGCAGCTCAGCTTCTGGCTTCCCTGGGAAAGTGCCCCACAGCCATCTAGAAAAAAACGAATTATCTCCCCTCTTCATCGCTGCCTCCCCTCATAGGTGGGTTAGAATCACAGGACACCACAGCTGGAAGGAAGCTTAGCAACGGTTAAGTCAGCCCCTCTGTGGCAGAGAAGGGGACACCCACGGTCACAAGGTCTGAGCTGTCTGTGGCAGAATCAAGACTCTCAGACCCAGAGTCCCAGGAGACAGCCAAGGACGTGTTCTCAATGCTTTGATGACCTTCTCGTCACCAAGACACTCATGTCTGATTTCTCTCCCCGCGGACCCCATGTTTTAAAAGATTTTCATTCACCAAAACAACTGCATTTATTAAGTAATAATTTATTCATTTTCCCATTTTTAAAATTAATCAAAGATACACATAACTGCCAGCCTGAGAGCCAGAGTCTCTGATCAGCAGGCAATAACCCTTATTACCACCATGGGTTGATTTAATTTCTGCCAAAAGCAAAGACACTTGACATTTTAGACAGCCTGAACAGCTTCATTGTGCGAAAGTGGAGGTTTTCCATTACACTTAGTGAAATATTCAAAATAGCTCCCAGACCCTGGTCAATAATTCATGGCACCCTTGGCCTCCAGGGATCCCTGCTGGGAACCACCGCACCATATCATTTGTGCAGGAGGTAAGATGCAAAGGGAATCTCACTGTCCTAGAGTCTCAGCAGCAAACTGTTAAGGGATTTGTAGCCTGGATCCAGTCAGAAGCCTTGGACAAACCACTCAGTCTTCCCTGAGCCTCAGGTTTCCCATCAGTAAGGTGGGAATAAGATATCAGTCAGGGTTCCTAGTTGCAAACAACAGAAATAAACTCTGCTTATATTAAGGATAAAATAATGTATTAAAAGGATACTGGGAAAAATAGCTTGGCAGTTCCTCCACAAGTTAAACATAGAATCACTATATGACCCAGCAATTCCATTCCTAGGTCTATATCCGACAGAATGGAAAATAGGTCTCCACACAAAAACTAGTACATGAATATTCATAGCAGCTCTATTCACAATCACCAAAAGCTGGACACAACCCACTGTCCATCAACAAATGAATGGGTAAAAAAAATGTAATATATCCATGCAGTGGGATATTGTTTGGCCATAGAAAGGACTGAAGCTCTGACACATGTTACAACATGCATGGGCCTTGAAAACATTCAAGGAAAGAAGTCAGACCACAGAATGTATGGTTCCATTCATATCAAACACCCAGAAAGGGCAAATCCATGGAGATGGAATGCACTCGTGGTTGCACGGGACCGTGTGGGGAAGGGAGGAATGAAAGCGGCTGCTTCCTGGGTACAGGGTTTCCATTTGGGTGATGAAGTTCTAGAACTAGAGAGTGGTGATGGCTGCACAACATTGAGAAAGTATTTGATGTCACTGGATTGTACACATGATGTCTGGCAAGTCGCAGAGCAGCTGGGTGTGTGGGAACCATGCCCGTGACTGGTCCTCAGGGATGCTGCTGCTGCAGCCGCTGAGGGTCCTAGTTGCTGGGTGCTGCACCTGCACTGCTGACCCAGGGTCTCCATGGCCTGCAGCTGTGCTAGCTGCCCGAGAGAGGGCCTTGGGGGCCCCTGAGACTCTGGGCAAATGCCTCTGATTGGCTGCCTCACATCCCAGCTTACACCGTAAGGACGGCTGAGAAAGCAAGTCCCTGGCATTTTTATCTTCTGCTGTGGGAGTCAGTCCCTGCCTCCCACTGAGACACAGGAGGGGGAATTCTCCTAAACACAGGAAGGCGGCAGAGAGGTGCTTCAGGACCACCAGCGTGTGCAGAGTTAACGACTGCTTCAAAGACAGAAGAGAACCTGTCTGAGGCGTGTGGTGCATGGGGGATGTGCAGGAAATGCTAAGACAGGGGCAGATCACAAAGTCTATATTGCTCTCTAAAGGTTCTTCATGGGTGGCAACTTTCCCTCCCCTCTTCAGCCTCCTCTGAACGCCCCCCACCACTGCCACCACACAAAAACTCATTAGTCAGAGACAGTTGCTCTCTCACCTTTCCTATCTAGATGTTTCTAAACTTTGAACAAGATGATAATCGCAGCTGCTCATTTGTCTAGCAGACACTAATCCTTGCCTCTGGGCTCTGTGATGTGCTTTGCAGTTTAGCACAAGGACCTTGCTGCTGTCCACTTAGAAACCCAGTAATGGTGAGATGGTGCTCAGGAGCGGGCTGGAGCTGTGGGGACCTGGTCTGCCCTCTGCGCCAGGTGACAAAGCCCCTGTCTTCTGTTTGGCCACGATCCCCATGGTACCATTCACAGCCCCTCCCAGCTGGGTGTGAGGGTGGGGCGCTTTGGAAGGTCTTGCCTCTAATCTCCTATACAGACAATTCCAGAAGTAAATAGAAGCAAAATAGGATGCGAGTTAGGTTTTGTTTTGTTTTTTTGTTTTTAAGGGGTAAATCTTGATATAATTTTAAAATTTCACAGAAGTTGCAAATGTAGTACAAAGAGCTCCCATATACCGTTCACCCGGATTCAACGATGGTTTAACATTTTATGCCATTTGCTTTTTCACTTCTCTCTTCCTCCTCCTCCCTTTTCTCTCCTTCTCCCTCCCCCCACAGACTCTGCCATTTTACCTCTAAATGCTCCAGTGTGTATTTCCCAAAAACAAATACCATCTTGTACATGATCACAGTGTAATTATCAAAATCCGGAGACTTAACACTGATACAATATTATTACCTTAATCCTCAGCCCATAATCAAAGCTCACCAATTGCCCAATAATGCCCACTATAGCTTTTTGGAGATTTTCAAGATGTCGATTTCTAGTTTAATTTCACTGTGGTCAGAGAACATGCTCCCCAAAATGTCAACCTTTTGAGATTTACTACATCTAATTCTCTGGTTCCTCCCTTGTCTCCCCAGCACTCCAGCTGGCTCCTTCTGGAAGTTTCCCTGGACTCTCTGCCACTCAGGCATAGCTGAGAGGTCAGTTGAAGACCTGGGGGAATTTCTACACAGGTTTTAGGGCTCCCCCCTTGCTCCTTTCTTTTTTTTAAGTCTTTTCATTTTTATTACTCAAAAAGTTTCATTTTTTATTTAGCTTTCTGACCCCGTGCATGTGCCTTCAACACTTTCACAACAATTTTCTGCTCCTCGATAAGGAAAGCGCCCTTGATCCTGTCACAGACACATTTAGCACACATCAAACCACCACAGGCCCTGCGGACATGTTTCCTTGTGTTGGACAATCTCATAAGAACTTTAGGTCTTACAGCAAGAACCCCTCGAAGTCTGCCTGGGCACACGCCACATGCAGATTTTGGTGCTTTCCCAACCTTCTTGGTATAAAGGTAAACAATTCCATTACCAGGGGTTCGGGGGAGCCTAGTTTTGTTAAAGGCTGTATTTCAGGAAAGCCTACGACAGTATGTCAAACGCCGGACCATTCTGAGTGCCTGCAGACAACATCCCTGGAAGTGCTCCCTTCCTCCTTTCCGCCTGGCGTTTCCCCCCTCATTTTCCAGCCATTTAGGAATCGCTTCTCATCCGCTGAGCCCTCAAGGCAGTGAGAGAGGCTGTACTTTCTGTATCAGCCCCAGCTGGAAAGCCAGGCAAACCCTCATCCCTTACAGATGGACACTCTTCCGGTTTCTGCCTGTTCTTAACCACTTTCCAATAGTTCTTTAAGAAACTTTAAATAGTTTCTTAACTATTTGAAGAACTATTTAAAGAAGAACTATTTATTAAATAGTTTATTATCTATTTGAAGAACTATTCAACTGAAGAACTATTTGCCTTCAAATAGTTCTTTAAGAAAACATTTTTTTGTCCAGAGTTTATACATCAACACACACACACACACACACACACACACACACACACGTGCACAGACACATATAATTAGGAATGCATCTTGTTTGTGTCTCATTCCGTAATATGTTACTATCACTCAAAATAGTACAAACTCGACCCTAATATGACAACTTTTAATTTTGGTTGGATTCACCAGATTCAATTGTTTATTTATCTGATTTCATTATATCATGATTTCTCCTTAACATTCATGAAAAGGTCTTTTGGGGACTTAATGTAAGTGACAACAGAATTCAGTGTGATGAAACCAAACATATATGAAATGAACCAGATGCCATATGGTTAAACCTATGAATATGTCAACCAGCAATTCACTGGCGCATAAATGTGCAAATGAGGAAACGTTCAAACACTTCAGCTTGTATTTTACAAAACAGTGTTTAAATATTTGACATAGTTTAGTAATATTTTAGAAAAATGGCCTACCTAGTCTGGATGATGTATGCGTTTGCTGGGGTTACTATAAGGAAGTTACACACACTGGGGGCATAAACAGCAGAAGGTTATTGCCGGGTAGTCATGGAGCCTGTGAGTCCAGGATCAAAGTGTCAGGTTTGGATTCTCCTGCAGCCTCTCTCCTTGGCTTGCAGACTTCCCTCTCTATGTGTCTGTATCCCAATTGCCTCTTTTTTTAACGTTTATTTGAAGTTCATGGGTACAAATGCAGGTTTGTCACATAGGTAAACTTGTATCATGGGGGTTTGTTGTACAGATTATTTCATCACCCAGGTATATTAAGCCTACTTCCCATTCATTATCTTTCCTGATCCTCTCCCTCCTCCCACCCTCCACTCTCTGATAGGCCCCAGTGTGCGTTATTCCCCTCTATGTATCCACGTGTTCTCATCATTTAGCTCCCACTTACAAGTGAGAATATGTGGTATTTGGTTTTCTGTTCCTGTGTTTGTTCGCTTAGGATAACGGCCTCCAGCTCCATCCATGTTCCTGCAAAGGACATGATCTTGTTCTTTTTATGGCTGCATAGTATTCCATGGTGTCTGTGTACCACATTTTCTTTATCCGGTCTACCATTAATGAGCATTTAGGTTGATTCCATGTCTTTGCTATTGTGAATAGTGCTGCAATGAATATACACATGCACACAAATGACTTTAGATTAGGACAGACCCTCATGGCCTCATTTTAACTTAACCACCCCTGTAAAGACTTCAGAAGATCAGGACTTCAACAGTGAATTTGGGGGGACACAACCCAACCCATAACAGATGGACAGTCTCTCCCCCTGCCTGCCTTTGGTATATTAACTCATATTTTACCTAAGAGTAGAGTGGACTCTATCTTAGGAAGGGTGGAAGCTGTGCCCTGGAGAGCCAAACCCTGACCAGAAAACCCATTCAGAGGTGCTGGAGATTCTAGGGGTGCTCCTCACACCCTGTGTCCGGGTGATTCCCTTGCTCCAGGAGGCAGAGGTGCAGGATGAACTCTGGCGTGCTTCCATGCACTGTCTCTTAGGACCGGCTCATTCTTAATCTGACCAGCATCTGCTTTACATTTGTTTTTTCTACTTAAAAATATTAGCAGTCATGGTCAGGTGCAGTGGCTTATGCCTGTAATCCCAGCACTTTGGGAGGCCAAGGTAGGGAGATCACTTGAGGTCAGGTGTTTTGAGACCAGCCTGGCCAACATGGAGAAACCCCATCTCTACTAAAACTACAAAAATTAGCTGGACATGGTGGCAGGTGCCTGCAATCCCAGCTACTCAAGTTGCAGTGAGCCAAGATCATGCCATTGCACTCCAGCCTGGGTGACAGAGGGAGACTCTGTGTCAAAAAAAAAAAAAATTGTAATCATGGACATGGTAACCAATCAAATGCCACAAAAGAACTTATAATGAAAAGACCCCATATTCCATCATTAAAAAATTACATAGTGGGATGTATTTAATGTGGCATACATTTGAATGAACTCTCTTTTTTCCCAGCTTTATGGAAGTGTTACTGACAAAAAATGTTTACATTTATGGCGAACAACATGAAGTTTTGATATATGTATACATTGTGAAATAATTACCACAATCAAGCCAATTAACACATCTACCACCTCACATACCTGTCATGTTTTGTGGAAGGAACATTTAAAATCTACTCTCTTAGCAATTCTTTTTTTTTTTTTTTTTTTTTTGAGATGGAGTCTCGCTCTGTTGCCCGGGCTGGAGTGCAGTAGCGTGATCTCGGCTCACTGCAAGCTCTGCCCCCCAGGTTCACGCCATTCTCCTGCCACAGTCTTCCGAGTAGCTGGGACTACAGGCGCCTACCACCATGTCTGGCTAATTTTTTGTATTTTTAGGAGAGACAGCATTTCACCATATTAGCCAGGATGGTCTCGATCTCCTGACCTCGTGATCCGCCTGCCTCGGCCTCCCAAAGTGCTGGGATTACAGGTGTGAGCCACCGTGCCCGGCCTCTCTTAGCAAGTTTTAAGAACACAATACATTGTTACTAACTATACCCACCATGATGTACGATAGGTCTCTAGAGCTCACTCCTCATGTCTAACTGAAACTTCACACCCTTTGACCAGCATTTCCCCATTCTTCTCACCCCCGGGCACTGGTAACCACTATCCTACTCTCTGCCTCTATAAAGTTCAACTTTTTTACACTCCACCTATAAGTGAGATCATGCAGTATTTGTCTTTCTGAGTCTAGCTTATTTCACTTAGCATAATGTCCTCCAGGTTCATTCATGTTGTTGGAAATGTATTTTTTAAGGCTGAGTAGTATTCTGTTGTGTTAGTGAGGATGTGGAGTATATATATCACATGTGTGCATATACCACATTTTCTTCATTCATCCATCAATGGACACTTAGAGTTTGATGGCATGTCTTGGCTACTCTGTATAATAATGCAACAAATGTGGACGTGCAGATATTTCTTCTAGATACTGATTTCATTCCTTTGGATATATCCCCAGTAGTGGGATTGCTGGATCACGTGGTAGTTCTATTTTTAATTTTTTGAGGAACCTCTAAATTGTTTTCCATAATGGCTGGTCTAACTTACATTCCCACCAACAGTACAAGGGTTCCTCTTTCTCCACATCCTCACCGACACCTGCCTTTGGTCTTTTTGATAAAAGCCTTTCTCAAGGTGTTAGGTGATACCTCATTTTAATTTGTAGTTCCCCGATGATTAGTGATGTTGAGCATTTTTTCATAAACCTGTTGGTCATTTGTATGTTTCATTTGACAAATGTCCATTTAGGTTGTTTGCCCATTTTTGATCAAGTTATTTGCTTTCTTGCTGTTGAGTTGTTTGAGTTTCCTATATATTTTGGACATTAACCCCATATAGGATACATGGTTTACACATATCTTATTCCATTCGGCAGGCTGTCTCTCCACTCTGTTGTTTCCTTTGCTGTGCAGAAGCTTTTTAGTTTGATGCAATCCCACCTGTGTTTGCTTTTGTTGCCTGTGCTTTTGGGATCATGTCTAAAAAATCATCATCAAGGCTAATACCAAAGAGCTTTTTCCCTATGTTTTCTCAAAATGGATTAAAGACTTAAACATAAAACCTGAAATGTAAAGCCACATTCCATCATTTTAATCAGTCCCTGGCAAATACTTACAACTCATTTGCCCTGCTTGTCGCTCTCATGCTTGCCTGGAAAAATCCCTCCCCTGGTGTCTGCATCTCTGCACCCACCCACACGTGTGAACCCAAACAGCCTGGAGACAAAGCCCAACCAGTGCCAATGGGTGTCACTCTGCGTTGCTGACTGGACCTCAGTGGCCCCTAATTATTGCCAGCCAATCCCACTGCAGTTTATTAATCAGCTGGCTCCTCCTTTTCCTGGATACCAGCTCATACTCCTCTGTCCTGGAGCCTCCAATGCTCCTTCCTCCTGCTCTCACTCGAGGGGAGCTGGGTCCCATTCCCAACTTACCTGGGACATGGAAGCTGTCAGAAGAGAGTGCCTTTATGCTCCCGTACCTCACCTCCCGTTTCCTACACAAGTCACTGGGTGTCTACCACAGCTTGTGTCCCCCTTCGTCTATTCCAGGATTTCACTCAGCCCTTATCCATTTTAATAAGTCTGATATGTCCACACTTTGAAACTGCTTGGCCTAAAGAGGGTGAGGCTGTGCTTTGATGCCATGAGAATTTCCTGAGCAGCCTTCTCCCGCCTCCTGTGGGGTCTGCAAGGGAAACCTGAGCAGGAAACCCCAGGCACCAGAGGGACGTTCAGCAGCCACTTTCAGTAAAATGCCATTGCCTAACAGCTTAATTACGAGCTGAAATGAAAAAAACAAATAAACAAATAAAACCCTAACCTCCTTTTCTATGCTTAATTCCATTCCTAGTGACCTTCTTTGATGGAAATAGAGAAATTCTGTTGTTGTATTGAAGAAGTATCAAATTTCCCACATGTGCATTTCAGCTTCTCAGAACTCATGGTTGCCATGGGCTGTGGTGCAAGCTTATCTGCCCCTGGCCCACACAATGTCCAATGTCATGTCATGGGACCCCTGCCACTTTGTGACATAAAATGTAAGAACATTGAATGCTACTGGCTGGGTACGGTGGCTCACGCCTGTAATCCCAGCACTTTGGGAGGCCAAGACGGGCGGATCACAAGGTCAGGAGATAGAGATCATCCTGGCTAACACAATGAAACCCTGTCTCTACTAAAAGTACAAAAAAATTAGCCAGGTGTGGTGGCATGTGCCTGTTGTCCCAGCTACTCGGGAGGCTGAGGCAGGAGAATTGCTTGAACTCAGGAGAGGGACATTGCAGTGAGCCAGCATTGCGCCATTGGACTCCAGCCTGGGCGACAGAGTGAACTCTGTCAAACAAACAAACAAACAAACAGAAAACACGTAATGCTACTTTGAGGCTAATGTAGACAATATGTGTTTCCCTGCCACAAGCCAGCCTACATTTGGCTGTGCCAAGGTAGAGGGCAGGAGCTTGCCTGGAGTAGGCAATACTGTGGGATCCATCAGGAAAGCCACCCCCTGGTCTGCAGAGGACTGTTCTGTGACCGAAGAGCTTACAGGAAAGGTCAATGTCGACTCAAGGTTAACTTAGGTCATTCAGTGTGTTTTGACTGAGAGTTTATCACATATTGGGTGCAGTCCTAGGCAAGTGAAGGTAGTGTCACTGTCAACAAGGATGTCACAGCCCTGCCCTCATGTTGCTTATATGCCAGTGGGAGGGAAACATGAAGACAGATAAGCAGGCAAATAACTATGTGCAATTGTAGTGGGGGCTGTGAAGAAAATGAGCATAGGCCTGAACCAGAGTGGCAGTGGTTGCATTTTAGGGGTATTGGTCAGGAGAGTGTCTCCGGAGGTTGACATTGAAGCTGAGACCCAGTGGATGAGAAGGGGCCACTTGAGTGGAAGACATCATCCTGGCCAAGGGCAGACCCAGAACAAAGACCCGAGATGAGGCAGAGATGGGTGATTATGAAACAGAAGACCCATCAGTGTGGCCCCTGGAGCAGAGGGACCAGGGAGAGGCAATGCAATGAAGCTGGGGAGAAGGGCCTTGCAGCCAGATGAGGAGTCTGGATTTCAATCTCAGAGAAATGGGAAGCCCTTGGAAGGTTTGAGAAAGAGTGAGCCATTGTCTGATTTGTCATCTAAGCAGTTTAGTCTTGCTGCTTTGTGTGAATGGATTCAAGGGGGTAAAAGTGGACATGGGAGACCAGCTGGAGGAGGCTGTAGTCATGGGGGTTGGAGGTCAGGGTGACTGGGACTAGGGAGGGAGAAGAGGACGGAGTTGAGATGGGTTGATTGGATGCAAAGAATAAGGGAGGGGTGGCATCAAGTATGGCAACTGTGTTTTAGGGCCCATGGATCTTGGTGTCTGGCAGAAAAAGCTGGAGGTGCATGAGTTTTAGGGGTGGGAGTGGAGGTGATGTTAAAGAAAAATTACACTAGACAGAGTTTAACAGGCCAGGAAGACTTTATTCCAGACTATCGCAATAGGAAAGGAGACTGAACTCAAGTCCAAATGCAACAGGGGCAGCCATGGATTTATGGCCAGCAGACAGGGTGAGGGGTCACTGGGCAGAAAATTACCAAAAGGAACTTGGTTAGGCATCAAGAGTGGGGAGAGTCTCACCAATCTGGGCTTGGCAGGCTGAGGATGAGGCCTAATCTAGAAGAGAGCTGAGTAGGGCCTGACTCAGGTTTCACCAAGGAGGGGGTGTTAGTTCGTTTTCATGCTGCTGATAAAGACATACCCAAGACTGGGAAGAAAAAGAGGTTTAATTGGACTTACAGTTCCACATGGCCAGGGAGGCCTCAGAATCATGGGAGGAGGCGAAAGGCACTTCTTACATGGCAGCAGCAAGAGAAAATGATGAAGAAGCAAAAGCAGAAACCCATGATAAACCCATCAGATCTTGTGAGACTTATTCACCATCAGGAGAATAGCATGGGAAAGACCAGGCCCCATGATTCAATTACCTCCCCCTGGGACCCTCCCACAACATGTGGGAATTCTGGAAGATACAATTCAAGTTGAGGATTTGGGTGGGGACACAGCTAAACCATATCATTCTACCCCTGGCCTCTCCAAATCTCATGTCCTCACATTTCAAAACCAGTCATGCCTTCCCATCAGTCACCCAAAGTTTTAATTCATTTCAGCATTAACCCAAAAGTCCACAGTCCAAAGTCTCATCTGAGACAAGTCAAGTCTTTTCCACCTATGAGCCTGTAAAATCAAAAGCAAGCTAGTTACTTCCTAGATACAATGTGGGTACAATTAATTGGTAAATACAGCCATTCCAAATGGGAGAAATTGGCCAAAACAAAGTTACACGCCCTATGCAAGTTCAAAATCCAGCAGGACAGTCAAATTTTAAAGCTCCAAAATGATCTCCTTTGACTTCAGGTCTCACATCCAGGTCACTCTGATGCAATAAATGGGTTCCCATGGTATTGGGCAGCTCCGCCCCTGTGGCTTTGCAAGGTATAGCCTCCCTCCTGGCTGCTTTCACAGGCTGGCGTTGAGTGTCTGCAGCTTTTCCAGGCAAATGGTGCAAGCTGTTGGTGGATCTACCATTCTGGGGTCTGGAGGATGGTGTCCCTCTTCTCACAGCTCCACTAGCCATGCCCCAGTAGGGACTCTGTGTGGGGGTTTCAACCCCACATTTCCCTTCTGCACTGCCCTAGCAAAGTTCTCCATGAGGGCCCTGCCCCTGCAGCAAACTTTTGCCTGGGCATCCAGGCGTTTCCATACATCTTCTGAAATCGAGACAGAGGTTCCCAAACCTCAATTCTTGACTTCTGTGCATCCACAGGCTCAACACCACATGGAAGTTGCCAAGGTTTGGGGCTTCCATCCTCTGAAGCCACAAGTTGAGCTCTACGTTGGGCCCTTTAATCCACAGCTGGAGAGGCTGGGACACAGGGCACCAAGTCCCTAGGTTGCACACAGCACAGGGACCCTGGGGCCAGCCCATGAAACCACTTTTTCCTCCTGGGCCTCCAGGCCTGTGATGGGAGAGGCTGTCCTGAAGGTCTCTGACATGCCCTGGAGACATTTTCCCCATGGTCTTGGGGATTAACATTAGGCTTCTTGCTACTTATGCAAATTTCTGCAGCCAGCTTGAATTTCTCCTAAGAAAATGGGTTTTTCTTTTCTATTGCATCATCAGGCTGCAAGTTTTCTGAACTTTTATGCTCTGTTTCCCTTTTAAAACAGAATGCCTTTAACAGCACCCAAGTCACCTTTTGAATGCTTTGCTGCTTAGAAGTTTCTTCTGCCAGATACCCTAAATCATCTCTCTCAAGTTCAAAGTTCCACAAATCTCTAGGGCAGGGGCAAAATGCTGCCAGTCTCTTTGCTAAAAGATAACAAGGGTCACATTTGCTCCAGTTCCCAACAAGTTCCTCATCTCCATCTGAGACCACCTCAGCCTGGACCTTATTGTCCATATCACTATCAGCTTTTTTGCCAAAGCCATTCAACAAGTCTCTAGGAGTTCCAAACTTTCCCACATTTTCCTATCTTCTTCTGAGCCCTCCAAACTGTTCCAACCATTTGCCTATTACTCAGATCCAAAGTCGCTTCCACATTTTAGGATTATCTTTTCAGCAGCACCACACTCTGCTGGTACCAGTTTACTGTATTAGTCCGTTTTCGCACTGATAAAGACGTACCCGAGACTGGGAAGAAAAAGAGGTTTAATTTGACTTACAGTTTTACATGGTTGGAGAGGCCTCAGAATCATGGTGGAAGGCAAAATTTACTCCTTACATGGCAGTGGCAAGAGAAAATGAGGAAGAAGTGAAAGCAGAAACCCCTGATAAACCCATCAGATCTTGTGAGACTTATTCACTATCACGAGAATAGCATGGGAAAGACCGACCCCCATGATTCAGTTACTTCCCCCTGGGTCCCTCCCACAACACATGGGAATTCTGAGAGATACAATTCAAGTTGGGATTTGGGTGGGGACACAGCCAAACCATATCAGAGGGTATCCTTGTAAATGAAAAGGGGAGGACTTAGGCTCTTGTTGGGTGTAATAAGTTTGAGATGTCCAAGAATAGATGTTGAGTACATGCCTCAAAATGTAAATCTGGAGCTCAGGGGACAGTTCTGGGTGGGATATACAAATTTGATCATGACTATAAAGATGGTTTGGGGAAGCTATGACCACCACTGAGCTCTCAGACCTGTGATGTAGAGTCTGACAGGCCAATGCCAGCCAGAGCTTTTAAATCCTGTATGGAATAATTAAGTACATAGCTATGGCTTGAATGTGTTCCCCAAAGTTCATGTGTTGGAAACTTAATCCCCAGTGCAATGATATTGAAAGGTGGGACCTTTAATAGGTGATTAGGTCATGAGGGCTCTGCCTTCGTGGATGGATTAATGCCATTTTCAGGGGGGGTGGGTTAGTTATCTCAAAAATGGGTTCCTGATAAGAGGATAAGTCTGGCTCTTTTCCCTTCTCTCCCTCTCTCTCCCTTTCTCCCACCATGTGATGCCTTCAACCATGGGATGACATAGCAAGAAGGCTCTCCCTAGATGCCAGCACCTTGATATTAGACTTCCCAGCCTGCAGAACTGTGAGAAATAAATTTCTTTTCTTTATAAATTACCCAGTCTCTGGTATTCTGTCATGGCAGCACGAAACAGACTAAGACACATACCGAACAGGTTTTAGTCCCCCACCGCAGAGGAAGCAGGGCCCAGTCATTCTCCTGCCTCAGACTCAGAGTCCTTATCACATGAAGGCAGGTAGAGACTTACTAAGGACTGGCTTCTTATAAAGAAAGAAAATTCTCTTGCCCCTCCTGGGTGTTAACTGAATGAGAATATTTCTATTGTAGTGATGCTTAAATATATGTAATTATATAATTAAGTATAAATGCTGTCTTAATCAGTTCAAGCTACTGAAACTAACCACCATACACCAGGTGGCTGATGAGCAACAGAAATTTATTTCTTACTATTCTAGAGGCTGGAAGTCTGTGATCATCAGGGTGACAGCATGATTGGGCTCTGGTGAGGGCCTGCTTCCAGGTTGCAGCCAGCCAACTTCTCACTATGTCCTCACATGGCCAAGAGAGATTATCTCTCACATGTCTCTTCTTACAGATGCATTGTCTTAGTCCACTTGTGCTGCTACAACAAAATACCTGAGACCAATAATTTAATGGTGCATTTAAAAATAACTAAAAGAGTATAATTGGAATGTTTGTAACATGAAGGATAAATGCTTGAGGGAATGGAGACCCCATTCTTCATGATGTGAATATTATGCATTGCATACCTGTATTAAAACATCTCATGTACCCCAGAAATATATATACTTACTATGTACCCACAAAAATTTAAAGTTTAAAAAATTTTAAAAATAAACGAAATACCCGAGACTGGGTAATTTATAAAGAACAGAAATTAATTTTCCCACAGTTCTGGAGGCTAGGAAGTTCAAGATCAAGTTGCCAGTGGATTCAGTTGTCCAATGACCATCCAGTCACTGCTTCCAAGTTGGTGCCTTATTGCTGTATACTCCAGAGGTGAGGATATTGTGTCCTCACATAGCAGAAGGCTGAAGGGCAAAAGGGATGAACTTCCTCTACCAAGCCTAATGTAAGGGTGCCTAATTCCAAGCAGGAAGAAGGAACCCTCATATCCTAATCACTTCTTAAAGGCCCCACTTCTTAATATTATCACATTGGCAACACCTGAATTTTGGAAGGGACACATTCAAACCATAGCATTCCACCACTCCAACCCTGGCAACCCAAATTCATGTCCTTCTCACATGCAAAATACGTTCATTCCATCCCAATGGCTCCAAATCTCTTAACTCATTTCAGTATCAACTTAAAAGTCTAAAGTCCACAGACTCATCTGAATCTGATATGGGTGAGACTCCAGGCAGGAGTCATTCTAAGACAAATTTCCCTCCCTCCCACCGTGAGCATGTGAAATCGAACAAATTATATGTTTCCAAAATACTTTGGTGGTGCAGGGACAGGACAGACGTTTCCACTCCAAAAGGGAGAAATAGGAAAGAGGAAAAGAATAACAGATCCCAGGTAAGTTCAAAACCTAACAGGGCAAATGACATTAAATCTTAAGGCATTAAATCTTCTTTGACGCTACATTTTGGTATCTGAATTTACTGGGTGGGGGTTTGATCCCCCCACAGCCCTGGGCAGCCGCATCCCCATGGCTTTGCCGGGCTCAGCCCACGCAGCCACTCTCAGGGGTTGGAGTTGGGTGCCTGTGGCTCTCCCCAGCTGGCATTGCTTGCTAGTGTGAGTTCCAGAGTCCAGAGGCTAGAGAACCTGGAGTTCTGATGTCCAAGGGCAGGAGAAGAAGGGCGTCTCAGCTCTGATAAAGAGAGGGAGAGAACTTTGCTGTTCTTCTGCCTTTTTGTTCCATTCAGGCCCTCAGTCGGTTGGCTGGTACCTGCCCACATTGAAGGCAGATTTCCCCACACTTGGTCCATTGACCCACAAGCCGGTCTCCTTGGGAAACACTCTAGTCCGAAGTGAAACCAGCTGGGTGTCCCTTTCCGCAGAAGAGGAATAGCTCAGTGCCTGCTGCAGCATTTGGAGTGAATGATGCTTTATCAGCTTTCTGAGAACTCCTCAATTCAGCCAAGTTGACACCCAAAGTCAACCATCACGATCATTAATCCCATTATGAGGGCCCTTCCATCATGACCTAATCACCTCCCAAAGGCCTCCTAATACCTCCTAATACCATCACCTTGGGGGTTAGGATTTTAACACACAAATTTTGGAGGTACACAGACATTCAGTCCGTTGCAAATGCCTTATGCTTATAGCTATTATAAAATTATCAATCCAAAGTAAATTGAAGGACTACATAACAACAAAGCCATATGCCTTCCTATCTCCAACTGACCCTAGTTTGAGAAACCTTGAACAGAAGAATTCTAGCATCCTTTACAGTTCTTTTTATTTTTAGTTTTTGGAGTTGGAGTCTCACTCTGTCGCCCAGGCTGGAGTGCCGTGGCATGATCTTGGCTCACTGCAACCTCCACCTCCTGGGTTCAAGTGATTCTCCTGCCTCAGCCTCCTGAGTAGCTGGGATTACTGGTGCCCACCACCACACCTGGCTAATTTTTGTGTTTTCAGTAGAGACGGGGTTTCTCCATGTTTACCAGGCTGGTCTCGAACACCTAACCTCAGATGATCCATCCGCCTCAGCCTCCCAAAGTGCTGGGATTACAGGTGTGAGCCACCATGCCTGGCCTCATCCTTTACAGTTCTAACATGCAATGATTTTCTTTTAATTTTAATTGATTAGTTAACGTTTAAGAGACAGGGTCTTGCTATGTTGCCCAGGCTGTAGTTCAGTGGTTATTCAGAGGCACCATCGTCATGCACTACAGCCTGGAAATCCTGGGCTCAAGTGATCCCCCCATCTCAGCCTCCCCCGTAGCTGAGGCTACAGGTTTGGGCCATCATGCCCAGCTAACATGCAATGATTTTCTGAGCCTGCAGTGGTGAGAGAGAAGGACCAGCTTGATGCAGCGAGGATAAGAGGGCTAATTGGACAATAGTTATCTAGAGATGTAAAGTCTGCATGGAAAGCAGCATTTTAAAAAAATAGATAATAAAAACATTTAACTCAGAGAAACTAAAACAAAATGAGGGTAGAAGAAAAAGAGCAATTTTACTGCTTTTGGTGAAAAGAAATCCTTCTTCAAATTTGAAAAGGCTCAACTTTCAATCTTTTCTCACTCACTTGGCCCCATACCTAACAGGCTTAGTTAAAAAGAAATCATAAGAATAGTTAGATTTTTCTAAATAATTATGACATTTGGTTTATATTTTAAGAAGCTCAGGGTGCTATTTATTTTATTAATCATACATCAGAAGGGAATTCATGTTTACAGCTACTCACCTAGCATTACTAGTGTTATTTTGTGCATTCCTTTCTGGCACTTTGTGTGTGTGTGTGTGTGTGTGTGTGTGTGTGTGTGTGTGTGTGTATATATATGTGCAACCTCCGCCTCCTGGGTTCAAGTGATTCTCCTACCTCAGCCTCCCGAGTAGCTGGGATTACAGGCGCCCACCACCAGGCCCAGCTAATTTTTGTATTTTTAATAGAGACAGGGTTTCGCTATGTTGGCCAGGCTGGTCTCAAACTCCTGACCTCAGGTGATCTGCCCACCTCAGCCTCCCAAAGTGCTGGGATTACAGGCGTGAGCCACCATGCCTGGCCTATATCTTTTACTTCCTATAATCATGTATTCTTTTAAAACTTAAGATTGTAAGAAGTGTTGTTCTCTGTTGCCACATAGTGTTAGTTATACTTTTGTTGAGTGTAATACTATATTGCCTGGATATACCACAATTCATATAATCATCTTCCTGTCATTTAACCTGTCTCTGTTTGTCATGAGTATAAAAAATTCTGCAATGAACATCTTCGTGCATACAGCTTTTATTATCTTGTGGATTCATTTGTTTGGGCTAGATTCCCAGGTGGGAATTTCTGAGTTAAAGGGTGCTATTTTATTTCTGAAAAAGTTTCTGATGATCTAAGTAGAGATTTGAGGATAAAGCAGAGAGAAAGGCAGATTTGCAACAGATAGGAGCAAATTTTAAAATCCCGAGGGAGAAGCAGGGCTGTGTCACCCAGGCATAGATGGTCCTCTGAACACAGGGGTGTTTGGTGCTCATCTTTCTAAACCTTTCTTGATGCCCCCAGGCAAAGCTGCTGGGCGCTGAGCAACAAGAGTGATTCAGAAGCACTCTGCTCAGATCCACTGGAGGTAGCAACTCCAGCCTGCGTTCAGACATAGTTACCAAGGAGACCTCTGCATTTCCCCTCTTTTCCAGGTTAACAGTCCTGAATCTGAGCTAGATGGTTGAATAGAATTAGTTAAAAATAGGGAGAAGAAAGAAAATGGCTTTAAAAGACAATTTAACTATTAACCTCAGGAATCAGCACCAAGCGCAACACAGAACATTCTGGTCCATTCCTTTTTCTGTGTGACTTCATGGTTTGATCTTTTTTCTGAGACGAATTTATTTCCATGTTTCTTTAATACAATAGAACTACCAGCGTGTTCCAAATGCATCCAAAAAATAATAATGGTTGTGTCAAATGTCACTGCCACACAAGCCCACCAGGGCCCCTGTGGGAAATGCGCTGAGGCCTAATAGGATGATTATTATGGCCTTGTAGAAAGTAGGAACAAGGTGTCTCAAGCTCACATGCTCCATCCCCGGCATGACACCACCGCTGCCAGACTTATTACTGTGGAAGTTTCAGGACCTGGGAACATGTTGCTCCTAGCTACTCACAGGGTGCTCAGAAGCGTCCATGGCTTTCTTCTCACTGGATTTCTACATTCCTACCGGCTTTTCTTAGCTTTAAAAGCCAGCCACACAGAGGCTGAGAACTGGGTCCTGAGGTGGGTGGGTCGCTGCTGTTGTTTGGGTATGTCCTTGCAAGACCAGAATTCAGGATGTTGCTGCTTTCTACCAAGTGCGTTGTCTGTAGTTTGCAATAACAGCCTTCTTTACAGCTTTGGGCTAACAAGACAGAACAGTAGAATCTACCACTTCATGATGCGCGTAGCCCACAAACTGGGTGTGCAAAAATATATAGCTTTTCACATTTTCTAACTCTGAACTTCTATTCAGTCAGATAAAAAACATAATGATGGTTGTTCCTGGGGGGTTCCCCCCTTCCTTAGCACTGGACTGCAATCATGGGGTTTAACAAGGTACTGTTGGCCACAGGGGCATCCATTTGGTCTTTGACATCAGTACACACAGGATACAGCTGGGATGCCTGGTGACTGTCGCTCCCATATCACACCAGAGGAAAGGAACTCTGTGCATGGGCCTGTAGCCCCATCCGTCTGGACGGTGGCCATTTCCTTCCTGGAGTTGATCAACCTGTCTGAGGGGCAGCCTGGGCTTGGTGGGGGGCGGTGGCAGAAGTGGCAGGAGCATTTCTTTTAAGCCTGCATGCTTCTCTCTTCCTTTAGGTTTTCTCAAGGTGCTCTGTGAATTCCCTTTCCCTAAGTGATTATGGTTTCCTACAAAATAAAGAATCAGTAAGTGAGTTTCTTTGGTTGCAGGCCCTATTTACAGCATTAAGCACATAGCTTCTCTCTCTCTCTCTCTCTCTCTCTCATATTAATATCTTAAAATAGCACTCTGCCAAATTATTATTCTTGCAAATCCTTGTGTTCACTTAAAGAATGTGTACTTCTCATCCAGGTTTCCCATCACCTCTCAATAAGGTTGGACTTCTGTCTCTCCCAAATTAAGCTCTCTCTCTGCCTCTCTTTTTTTGTGATCAAGTCCTGTTTATTTTAGAAGCAGGAACAGTAGAAGTAGGAAGGAGTGTTGAAAACAAGGCACTGGTCCCCTTGACAGGGCCAGATCTGGCACAGGCTCTGTCTGTGTGATCAAGGTGGACTCAGCAGCTTCAATCTGCCTTTCCCTGTGAGGACAGGGTGTGAGGACAATCTGCACGCAGGTGAGTCTTCCATAAGGGTGAGGTTGAGGTAAGTTGGCTCTGGGTATCTTTGGATCAGTTGCAAAAGGCCAGAGGGCCCCCAATACCCTTGGCCAAGAGCATCCCAAGCTGGTTCTGTCTGTGCCCAGGCAAAGCCACATTCTGGAGAGGAAGCCATAGTGCCTGGTGGGCACCAGCAAGGGCTCAGGTGTTCAAGAACAACTTGCAATGAGGCTCCATGGCCAGCAAGCACCTGCTTCCCCAGCCCAGTCATCTCTGCAGAGCCTTCAAAGAGGGAGCATCCCAGGCAGCCCGACTTCACATGCACATGCACGGCAGCACCTGGCTGTGTAGGAGACATGTTCTCCAGCTGCCCTCAGGGTGGAGATGTGAACATGGACACTGGGTAAATATGGGCTTTACAGCAGATGACTGAGACACAGACACAGGAGGAGAGGCAGGCACAGCCACAAGGCAGTGACCTAGCTGGGGAGGGGAGGGCTGTTCCAGATGTGAGCAGGGCTCTGTGGCTAGGGGTGAAGGGTGTCTTTGATGGGGACGGGAGCACAGAGAGGTTTGGGTTGGGGGCCAGGAACAGGCATGACGGGCTGGTCATGCCACCCCCCCTTGAATTATACATGGCCCTTCAAGGAGGTTCCTGACTCTTGGAAAAGGCCACCTGCCACCCATGACTGCAAGTCCCTGTGTAAAGTTTCAAGTCAAATAGAGTAACTTATAAAAATAAAAGCACATCATGACCACATTGAGCTTTTCCTAGGAATGCAAAGACAATCAAAGGATGTTTATAGCAACATTCTTTGAATTACAAAACAAAATCCCAACAGCAAACTGGAAACATCTTAAATGTTCATCTGTAGAGTAATATGTACGTGAAGCATGATATAGTCATATAAGAGGGTAGTATGCAGCAATGAAAATGCATGCACTAGTGTTATATATATTAGCATGCATGAATTTCAAAAATGTGTTGAGTAAGAAAAGTTGCAGAAGAATACGTATATCAAGATTTATTTCTAATAAGTATAAAACATAAAAAACAATATTACATAATACAGTTTAAATATTTGTACTCACTTAAATATCTTGTTGAAATGTGATCTAGTCAGGCTTTGTGTCCTCACACAAATCTCATCTTGAATTTCAATCTCCATAATCCCAATGTGTCAAGGGAGAGACCAGGTGGAGGCAATTGAATCACGGTGACAGTTTCCCCCTTGCTGTTCTCGTGATAGTGAGGGAGTTCTCACAAGATCTGATGGTTTTATAAGGGGTTCTTCCCCCTTTGCTCTGCACTTCTGCTTCCTGCTGCCTTGTGAAGAAGGTGCCCTGCTTCCTCTTTGCCTTCTGCCGTGATTGTAAGTTTCCTGAGGCTTCCCCAGCCATGCTGAACTGTGAGTCAATTAAACCTCTTTCCTTTATAATTTGCCCAGTCTCTGGCAGTTCCTTATAGCAGTATGAAAACAGACTAATACCAAATGTAATCCCCAGTCCTGGAGGTGAGGCCTGCTGGGAGATGTTTGGGTCAGTGGGATGGATCCCTCGTGGCTTGATGCTGTTCTTAGGCTAGCCAGTGAATTCTCATGAGATATGGCTTTTTAAAAGTGTGGCATCTCCCCCACCACTCTTGCTCCCCCTTTGCCTTTTGTGATGATCATAAGCTTCCTGAAGTCTTCCCAGAAACAGATGTTGGCAGTAGGCTTCCTGTATAGCCTGAAGAACCATGAGCCAATTAAGCCTATTTTCTTATAAATTATCCAGTCTCAGGTATTTATTTATAGCAATGCAAGAATGGCTTAATACAGAAAATTGGTACTGAGGAGTGGGGCATTACTATTAAGATACCTGATGATGTGGAAGTAGCTTTGGAACTGGGTAACGTGCAGAGGTTGGAAGAGTTTGGAGGACTCAGAAGAAGACAGGAAGATGAGGGAAATTTGCTGCTTCTTAGAGTCTGGGTAAATGGTTGTGACCAAAATGCTGATAATGATATAGACAGTGAAGTCCAGGCTGCTGAGGTCTGAGATTGAAGTGAGGAACTTATTGGGAACTGGAGCAAAGGTCATGAGTGTTATGCCTTAACAAAGAACTTGGCTGCATTATGTCTATGCCCCAAGGATCTGTGGAAATTTGAACTTAAGAGTGATAATTTTGGGTATGTGGCAGAAATATCTAAGCAGCAAAGCATTCAAGATGTGGCTTGGTTGCTTCTAATGAACTATGCTCAGATGTGGGAGCAAAGAAATGCCCTAAAGTTGGAACTTAGGGAAACAAAGAATAAAAATTTGGAAAATTTGCCACCTGGACATATGGTACAAAAGAAAAGCCTGTTTTCAGGGGAGGAACTCAAGCAGGCTGCGGAGAAACCACTTGCTAGAGACATTTGCATAACTAAAAGGGAGCCAAGTGCTAATATCCAAGACAATAGGAAAAAGGCCTCTAGGGCTTTTCAGAAGTCTCTGAGACAGCTCCTCCCATCACAGGCCCAGAGGCCCAGGAGGACTGAATGGCTTTGTGGGCCAGGTCCAAGGCCCCTCTGCCCTGTGCAGCCTCAGTACACTGCTTCTCACATTCAGGCCACCCCAGCTTCAGCCTCAGCTCAGAGGACCCCAGGTACAGCTTGGGCTGCCACTTTGGAGAATGCAAGCCATAAACCTTGGCAGCTTCCATGGGGTTTTAAGCCTGCAGACACACAGAGTTCAAGAGTGAAGGAGGCTTGGCAGCCTCTGCCTAGATTTCAGAGGATGTATGGGAAAGCCTGAATGCTGAGGCAGAAGCCTGCTGCAGGGGCAGAGCCCTCATGGAGATACTCTACTAGGGCAGTGCAGAGGAGAATTGTGGGATTGGAGCCCCCACACAGAGTCCCCAGTGGGGCACTGCCTAGTGGAGCTGTGAGAAGGAGGGTCACCATCCTTCAGATGCCAGAATGGTAGATCCACCAGCAGCTTGCATCCTGCACATGGAAAAGTGGCAGGCACTCAATAAGCTGTGAGAGCAGCTTCAGGGGCTGAACCCAGCAAAGCCACAGGGTCAAAGCTCCTCAAGGCCTTGGGAGACCACCCAGCATACCACGTGCCCAGAATGTGGGACATGCAGTCAAAAGAGATTATTTTGAAGCTTTAAGACTTAGTGACTGCCCTGGTAGGTCTAAACTTGCATGGGGCCTGTAGCTCCTTTCTTTTGTCTGATTTCTCCCTTTTGGGATGGGAGTATTTACCTAATGTCTGTACCCTCATTGTATCTTGGAAGTAAATAACTCGTTTTGCTTGTATAGGCTCGTAGGTGAAAGGAACTCATTCTAGATGAGACTTTGGACTTGGGACTTTTGAGTTAATGCTGGAATGAGTTAAGATTTTGGGGGACAATTGAGAAGTCCTGATTGTATCTTGCAATGTAAGGACATGGGGAGGGGGCAGAGGCTCAATGATATTGTTTGGATATTTGTCCCCACTGACATCTCTTGTTGAAATGTAATCCCCAGTGCTGGAGGTAGGGCCTGGTGGGAGGTGTTTTGGTCATGGGGATAGATCCCTCATGGTTTGATGCTGTTCTTAGGCTAGCGAGCAAGTTCTCATGAGATCTGGTTGTTTAAAAAGTGTGGCACCTCCCCTGCCACTCTTGCTCCCTCTTTGTCTGCTGCCATGATTGTAAGCTTCCCAAGGCCTCCCCAGAAGCAGATGTTGGCACTGTGCTTCCTGTATAGCCTGCAGGACCATGAGACAATTAACCTGTTTTTCTTATAAATTATCCGGTCTCGGGAATTTCTTTATATCAAAGCAAGAACAACTTAATACACTACATACTACTTAGAGATACAAGCATATGTACTAAAGGTATAAAGAAAAGTATAATGATTATAAACCCTAATTTCGTGGTGGTGTTTATCTGCTTGTGGGGAGGTCAGTGTGCAGCCTGGGACTGGGTACCCTGAGGGCTTCCAACGTACTGATAATGTTTTATTTCTTCCGTTGGATGGTGGATATACAGTAGTTCATTGAATTATTCTATATGCATTGTGTACATTTTAAATATTTCACAATATTTCCAAATAAATATTGAATTAGTTATAAAATGAAAAGCAAAAAGAGGAAGCAATAAAGGGAACTCTGATTTGGATTTATTGTTGATCTCTGAAGATGAATTGTGTAAGAATCTTGGCAGAAAGGAAAATTTTAGAACAGATTCATGGTGCTGAGCATATATACATATACCCTAGACTTTGGGGAAAGAAATTTTAAAAAAGAAAATATATAAGAGTTACACTGACAGAGACTCAAATTTAAATTATAAGTATTCAAGTCCAAGGGATGTAAAATCCAACCAAGTGGCCAACACACAGCCCTTCTCTAATGCCCCTAACAACCCCTGGGGTTTGTGCAGAGCTTAGATTGTAGAGGCCCTCGTCATAAGATGGAAACAGGGCATCACCAAAACGAAGCAAAACAGAGGCAGGAGTGATAGAGCAAGAAGACTAAGCCCAGAATAAGCTGATGCTTGCCAGAATACTGGAGCCTGCAGAACATCCCCACAGAGCAGAAAGCCTCCTTAAAGGCCCTGGCACCTGCCCGAGGTATTGGAAGGTTTGGTGATCTCCAGTAGCTCACAGAGGCTGAAAGTGATCACCTGGCTCCTGGTCGACCCTGGGGAGCTCTTCCAGCAGGAGAGAGCGCAGAGTCTTCAAAAGCCCGTCACCAGCCAGCTGGGCTGAGGGACAGCAGTTCCTGAGTGGCTCTCTGCTTTCAGGAACTCAGATCAGAGGGCAAGGAAGGACCTCACAGGAGGATCACGCTGCTGTCATCCAGATACCAGGGGCCAGGACATAGGCCAGGAAGCTGGTGTCTGGCAAGTGTCATTTTGTTTCAAAAAAGGCAAATAAAAAGAATGTCAAAAATTTGATTTTAATTTTTTTGCAGAAGGCTTCCTCCCTTCCTCCTGTCCTTTCTTGTTTGCTCTTCCTTCTTTCCCTCCTTCCGTCCTGTCATCCTTCCTTTTTCCCCTTCTCCTTCCCTTCCATCAGCGCTTTCTGTGCCCAGAAAATGACAGCAAGCTGCCATGCACCACTGTGCGAGTCCTCTTGCTCCTTGCATTGTCAGTTGCATTTCTGTATCATATATCTGGACTCCCAATTATAGGCCCAGTGCTATTTTTCTTTATTATCTCCAGTGTTTGGCACAGTGCTAGTCATGAAATACACTTTCCGAATATGTTTGTTGAAGGAAGGAGGGAAGGAAGGAAGGAGGGAGGGAGGGAGGGAAAGAAGGAAGGAAGGAAGGAAGGAAGGAAGGAAGGAAGGAAGGAAGGAAAGAAGGAAAGAAGGAGCAACCCTCCTGGGGATAATGCTGCCTGTGCTCCCTGAAGTTCATGAGGCTATGAATAAAGAATGAGGATCCCCTGTTCCCCACCCTCCTAGCCTCGTGGTGGTGGCTGGGTGTGCAGGAATGGAGGCTGTGTCTTTTGCAAAGTGTCCTCCACCCAAGGACATAAACTACATCATAAGTCAAAACCAGTAGGGGGGCCTCCCGAGCCATCGGTGCAGGTAGCTCCATGCAGTGCTCTGTGAATGTGCTTGTGGATGTGTGCAGGTGCATGCGATGGAATCCATTCATGCTATGAAGGGTGGTAATATTTGAAAAGGGGTTAAGGGGAAGGAGAAGGAACACCTGTGGTGTGTGTGTGGTGAGTTCAGTTCAGATGGCTGTGAGTATTTGGTGGGACTGGGGTTACTGGAGGGAGGAGGCAGAGAGAGGGGAAGGAAGGTGCAGTACAGAGGTATAAAGAGGCCAGAGGTGTTCAGAACTGCAGGTGGCTCCTGGGGTGGCAGATAAAATGGGCCTGAAGGGGCAGGTCAGGGCTCTGTTAGGCAGGCCTCCATGACAGGCTCATGAGTGGAAATTTCACCCTGAGAGGAGACCTCAGACAGATTTTAGGCAAGAGCCTGACATCAGACAGACAGAAAGGTGTCATGTGGGGAAAAGTGCAGGGAGGAAATGCTGCTGGCCTGAGGCCACACAGGCAGTGGCTGGAACTCAGGATGTCATGAGACCCAAAGCAAGCCTGGCCTGGTGGGGCTGGGAGGTGGGCGTGGGGCTGAGAGGTGTTGTAGACGGCAGAAAATGCAGGGGTTTGTGCTGAGAGAGGGGGAAGGTACTGAGGTCAATATCTGACATTTTGAGCTCCAGTAGACTGTGAAACATTAAGATAGTGTGATGGACAATTTAACGTGCCATCTTGGCTGGGCCACTGGGTGCCCAGGTATTGGGTCAAACATTATTCTGGGCATGTCTGTGAGGGAAGTTTTGGATGAGGTTAACACTGGAATCAGTGGACCGAAGAAAGCGGAGGGCCCTCCCCAGTGTGTGTGGGCCTGGTCCAATTAACTGAAGACCTGAGTAGAACCAAAAGGCTGAGTGAGAGGGAACTCTTCCTCATGCCTGACCTCTGAGCTGGGACACGGGTCTTCTTCTGTCCCTGGACTGGAGCTACACTAATGGCTCTCCTGGGTCTCCTGCTGGCTGACCACAGATCTGGAACTTCTCAGCCTCCACAGTCATGTGAACCAGTTTCTTGTAATAAAGGTATTTACACACACACACACACACACACACAACATTGGTTCTGTTTCTCTAGAGAACCCTGATGTGTTTGATGTATAGAGATAGAGTCTACAGGAAAATTTGATTTCTGGACTACAGCAGAGAAATCTGGCTCAGAGAGATCAACACTTCAGTGGTACATGAACCAGTGAAAGAGTAATTGTGAGAGAAGCTTAGAGCAGCCCTGGGAAACTCATGTTCAGGGGGTGACAGTCAGGGAAGATGGGCCTGATTTCAAGCTGAGACCTGAAGCAGGAGTAAAAGTTTCCCAGGCCAGGGGCTGTGGTGGGTAAGCTGAGGGATCCGCTGGGCACGGGCACAGCAGGTGCAAAGGCCCCGGGGCCAGGAGGAGCCTGGTGTGCTAGAGGGATTGCAGCAAAAGGGTCTGGCAAGGATGTGGTTGCAGAGGCAGGCAGGGTAGGGCCAGCCATGCAGGGGCTGTCATAGCCCTGGCACTAAAGGCCCCTCTCTACCTGGTAGCAACACTAATGAAGGGAGGCAGTGGTGATGGATGTTGATAGAAGCATATTCTTTCTGGTTTAACATCCCAAAAATGCATTATCCTGGATATGACCTATGTTTTAAATAAATGAACATTATTGTGCTTTCTGGGACGTCCACTGCCCAGGGCAGACCTCTGCCTTGATGGGTCCTCAGGCATTGGGTGTATTACTTATGTCTTTACTTTTCTGTATTCATTCATGATACTTTGACATCTGGGGCCTTGCTGACCCTGGGGGAACTGCCCCTCCCAGGCCTAGCTAATTCCTAGAGATAGCAAACTCCTCTGCGAGTTCACCTTCATATGAAAACCCACCAATCCAGAGCCCACACCCAACCACCTTCCCTATCAGGCTCTCACATGAGGGCGACTATCCATCCACCTGCCTTAGTCACCCCAGGGCCATTCCCAGACATTAGGGATAGTCATCTGCCCCAGAGCCCTGAAATCAGTTAAACTAGATGATCCTAAGCCTGTGTGCTCCACTCACCCACTCCTCCTGTGGAAACGATACAAAGGCTCCAGCCCACAGTTCCTCCCTCTCCCTCTGTTCCTGACTGGCCCAGTGTCTCTTTTGAGGCCCTGTGTGCTGTGCTGGGCCTCCTGTTTCTAGGGATGTATGAGCAGAATAGACTTCTTCCTTCATGACAGTCGTTTTTGTGTCTGTGTACCTTATCATCCTTAATTAAGACAGATCCTGGGGACCCTTAAAACACAGGTAAGCACTTGCTTATTCATTCTTCAGGAGGCTAAGTCTGGATCATCCACCTCTGTCTCTTCTCAAACCCTTTCAGGGTGTAGCATGGGGCTGGGATTGCAATAAGGGCTCAATGAATGTGGCTGGCTGAGCTCTCCTGTGCTGTCCACCAGGCCTCCCCATCAGGTCTGTACCTCCCATCGGGCTGTCTGTCTGTCTGATGTGGGGTGCCAGTGGCACAGACACGCCAGTGTCTTGTGTTTCCCTCAGAGGCAGCCTCAGGGCTCAGCCTGCTAAGGGTGAGGACAAGGATGTGCCAGGTGGTGACGTCTTAGACTTCATCTGAGCCTTCAGTGAGTCATAATCTTTTTGCTGGTGGAGGGTCTTGCTTCACTGTGGATGGCTGCTAACTGATCAGAGTAGTGGTTGCCAAAGGTGGGGGTGGCTGTGGCAATTTCTTAAAATAAGACAACAATGAAGTTTGCCTCGGCAATTGACTCTTCCTTTCACGAAAGATGTCTCTGTAGCACATGATGCTGTTTGACAGCATTTCACCCACAGTAGAACTTCTTTCCAAATTGGAGTCCATCCTCTCAAGCCCTGCCACTGCCTTCTCAACTGAGTCGACGTAACATTCTAAATCCTTTGTTGTCATTTCGACAATGTTCACGGCATCTTCACCAGGAGTAGATTCTGTCTCAAGAAACCACTTTCTTTGCCCATCCATGTAAAGCAACTCCTCACCTACTTAAACTTTATCCTGAGATTGCAGCAATTCAGTCACATCTTCGGGCTCCACTTTTCATTATAGTTCTATTGCTATTTCCACCACATCTGCAGTGACTTCCTCTGGTAAATTGACCAAGTCTCAATTGAGCCTCTCAAAGTCATCCGGGGTTGGAATCAACTTCTTCCAGACTCCTGTTAGTGTTGGTATTTGACCTCTTCCGATGAATCATGAATGTTCTTAATGGCACCCAGAATAGTGAATTCTTTTCAGAAGAGTTTAATTTCTTTTGTCGAGATCCATCAGAGGAATCACTATCTGTGGAAGCTACAGCCTTACAAACTGTATTTTTTAAATAATAAGAATTGAAAGTCAAAATGATTCCTTGATTCCTGGGCTTCAAAATGGATGTTAACAGACATGGAAACATTCGTCTCCTTGTACATCTCCGTCAGAGCTCTTGGGTGACCCGGTGCTCAATGAGCAGTCATATTTTGAAAAAATCTTTTTTTTTTTTTTTTTCTGAGCAGAGGATCTCAACAGTGGGTTTAAAATATTCAGTAAATCATGATGTAAACAGATGTACTGACATCCAGGCTTTGTTGTTCCATTTATAAAGCACAGGCAGAGTAGATTTAGCATAAGTTTAAGTGCTCTAGGATTTTTGAATGGTACGTGAGGACTGGCTTCAACTTCAAGTCACCAGCTGCATTAGCCCCTGACAAGACAGTCAGCTTGTCCTTTGAAGCTCTGAAGCCAGGCATTGACTTCTTCTTTCTAGCTATGAAAGTCTAGGTGGCATTTTCTTCCAATAGAAGGCTCTTTCATCTACATGAAAAATCTGTTGTTTAGTGTAGTGACCTTCATATCAATGGTCTTAGCAAGATCTGGAGTGCTTGCTGCCTCATCTTGCACTTGATTTTACGGAGACGGCTTCTTTCCTTAAACCTCATGAACCAACCTCTACTAGGTTCCAACTTCTCTTCTGCAGCTTCCTCACCTCTGTCAGCCTTAATAGAACCAAAGAGTTAGGGCCTTGCTCTGGATTAGGCTTTGGCTTAAGGGGATGTTGTGGTTGGTTTGATCTTCTATCCACACCATGCAAACTTTCTCCATATCAGCCATAAGGCTGTTTCACTTTCTTATCACTCGTATGTTCACTGCAGTAGCACTTTTCATTTTTTTCAAGAACTTTTTCTTAATATTCGCAGCCTGGCTGTTTGGCACAAGAGGGCGAGGTTTCAGCCTCTCTTGGCTTTCAACATGCCTTCCTCACTAAGCTTAATCATTTCTAGCTTTTGATTAAAGTTGAGAGACATACCACTTTCTCTTTCACTTGAATACTTAGAGGCCATTGTAGGGTTATTAATTAGCCTAATTTCAATTTCAATATTGTTGTGTCTTAGGGAATAGCGAGGCTTAAGGGGAGAGAGAGAGAGAGACAGGTGGAACAGCCTCAGTGGAGCAGTCAGAACACACACAACATTAATTGATTAATTCATTGTCTTATATGGGTGTGGTTTATCGTGCCCAAAAATAATTACAGTAGTAACACCAAAGATCACTGATTGTAGATGAGCATAACAGATATAATAACAATGAAAAAGGTTGAAATATTGCAAAAACTACCAAAGTGTGACACAGAGACAGGAAGTGAGCACCTATAGACTTGCTCAATGCCGTGTTGCCATAAACCTTCAGTTTGTAAAAAATGCAATCTCGGCAAAGTGCAATAAAGCGAAGTGCAATAAAATCAGCTATGCTTGTATAAAAAGTGCCGGACACATGGGAGATGCCCCATGTGTGGTAGTTATTAATATTGGTAGTTTTCATGTGCTGACCCCAGGAATACATAGATAGATTAACCCAGATGAACTCTAGGGAAACTTACGTTAAGTCTTATGTCTTTTTCCTCCTGATGTCATGGGAACAGACATGTCTTGGAGAGATGCACCCTGGGATCTGTCCAGGATCAGAAACTCCTGGAGCCAGCCCAGCCAGAGGTACTCCTCAAGGACTTGCTCTCCAAAGCTTCCAGTCATGAAAGTGCTCAGCCCAAGGTGGGTGCCAGGGTGACCGTGCCCCAGGGATGGCTGGGCTTCTTTCTCTACCTGTTCAGCCCAAGCCATTTAAGGCAACTGTGGGTTCACAGCAGTACCTCTAACTTTTCCCACCCCATGGAGACCTGGGCATGCATGAAAGGCTAGGAGGATGGCATAGAATTTGGCCACTGGCCCCTACGGCCATGGGTGGTGGTTGATGACTGAAGAAAGAGACGAAGCCTTGTCAGGGAGGTGCTTGAACCCTGTCTGGAAGCCCACAGAACTGAGATCAGAGGCAGTGGAGGCACGGCTGCCTCCTGGGCTCTAAATGAGCAAATGTTTAGGAACGAGGGTGCCAGAACAAAGCTGCCTGCGCTCCTGTCCCGGTCCCTTCTCAGCTCAAGTCACACATGTGCTAAGAGGCTTTTGGCTCCAAGTGGCTGGTAGACATTGGCTGACAGATTTGGGATCTGATAAGAGGCTGTTGATTTCATTCGTTTGTGCAATGTCGGAGATAAATTTTAACAGTTAAAACAGGGAAGAAGAATAAAAAAAAGCCCTAGAACTTTGCCAGCATCACAACTCTGCCTGTTTCTTCTAACGGATTTCTTGAAACTGTCAACCGCCTGAGTTGGAGGAGCCTATTTATAAGGAGCGTTGTCATGTGTCTTCGGGGGAGCCAGGACCGTCCGAGGGGTTGGCTGGCCCTTCACAATGTGACCCCGCTCCCATGGGCTCCCTCTTTCCTCCTGCACAGCCCTGGGGTGCAGGAGTCCCTCTGGAAGGCAACAGCTTCCAGCGACTCAAAGGCCTGCAAGGTCATGTGAACCCAGCATCACAGGTCTACCCACAGAACCAGCAATTTTATCAGTAGTATTATTTATCCTCTGCAAAAAGAGACACTGAAAACAAAGTTCCCTTTCTCAAGGAACTCTGATGAGAACTTTAAAAATATATTTGACCTTGGAGGATTCATTGTTTTGGAAGCCATGGAGACCTGCCTCATGCAACCCGAAAAAAGGATTGCATCTGTGATGTGTGGGACAGGCACGAGGGGCCTCTACAACCAATTTACCCTGTGTCTTGACTTCTCTGAGAGTTGCATTGGGTTCAACAGTGATCCCATTTCCTCCCAAAGGGCCACTGGGAGATCAGGCAGTATCAAACTTATATCCAAAAAGCTCTATACAGTTTCAAGGTGTTTCCAAAGCACATCCTCTGATCCTCATACCCTCCAGGGTGGTAGGCACCACAAGGCATTTGCATTTGCTCTGAGATGAAGATACGACCATAGGGTTGTACCCAGAAGGTCTCATGACTCTGGACATCCAGCTCTTTCCACCACACTCCAACATTCTCAAAGGGAGAAGTGGTCCAGGTTTCCTTCTGAGAGTGAATATCACTTCCAGCACAAGCTGCAGCCTGCATCCCAGCCAGCCCTGCTGATGCCTCCAAGGATGTGAGTGAGAGTTGCCCACATCATGGGAACCCTTTGCTGGTCTGCAAAATATCCCAGAGCTTGTTCTTTTGAACCCTGTGTGTGGAGAGCTTTGACTTAAATGTGCCATGCATAGAATGAACCCCTGCAGGGGTGTGCCACCCCTTGGCTTCCCAGGAAGACCACCTGCTTTTCTGACACTGTCCCTGGAATGACCAACTGTTCAGTGGCCTTTTTACAAACTGTTCAGGCTCAAGAAGTGCACATCCTCATTTACAAGGGACATGTGGAAAGTCTTGAAATTGGATCCGAAAAGTGTGGTTTCTCCAAGAACTAAAGCTCCCAAAGCAGTTTTGAGAAGAGAGGGACATAGGCTAGCATGGATTTTGGCGTGAATTCTTTTCCTTTGCTCTTAGGATGTGTATGCTCTCAAAGAGTTTGCCAGCAGGCTATGGGAACTCCATCCTCACACACTCAGCCTCTGCCTCAGGTGGCAGGGGCCCTGGCTAGGGTGTGGCTGTAATATTCAGGACTGACCGAGTATTCCGCACACTGGTGAAGGGAGGGGTCCTCTGGAGACCATGCCTCTCCTACAGCAAGCCCAACCTGCAGGTGGGAGGGATGTGCCAGTGCCTTCTCACCACCACGTGCCTGCGTGCCGCCCTTCGTCCTGCTGTTTCCTATCACACCTGCTCTCAGGAACAGGTGCAACACAGTCCCACTAGGTGCATAGCTACTCACACTGTGACACGGACACTCCCAGGAACATCAGCCCCATAACGCCTGGGAGAAGAGGGCTGGAGTTCTAGGCAACCTTGAGCTAAGGAGGGCTCCTTTGGACTGGGGGATTCTCAATGTCTTTGGAGTCTTATTCTTCTCAAAAGTCCCTCTGGAGCAGCCTGGTCTTGGGGATTGGCCAGAGGGAAAGGTTTATGGCAGCACTTCCATCAAAAGACACCATAGCATCACATCAACTAATGACCAACTGTAATGATTTCACTTTTATCAGTATACACATGATTAGAAACTTTAGAAACTGGACCACTCTTCTGTTCTACTAACCTAATGCTCAATACCATGAATCATGTGAGAGGACTCTTGCCCATGTTAAGTTATGTGACCTTTTTGTTTTGGCTGGGGACGGTATACTTCATTGATGGTGCATGACAAGCTGGAGCTCCCTAAGCCCCTGTCCTTCCTCCAGGAGTCTGGAATGGAAACTGACTTTGGGGAGCCTGAGTGGGGCAATGACTCCCCAGCAGCTGGGGGCTCACTCTTCCTCTCGTGCTATTGGTGGAGCTGGTGGTCTGGAGGTCTTACTCCTTGGAGGCCATGTGGACCATAAGGTCCACCACCCTGTTGCTGCTGCCAAATTCATCCCAGGAAAGGAGCCTGACAAAGTGGCCATTGAAGGTAATGCCAGTCCTGGCATTGAAGGTAGAAGACCGCAGGTGCCACTCTTAAAGTCAGA